>NC_000010.11:79234004-79385519 GCF_000001405.40 Homo sapiens | reverse complement strand
TGTCTGTTCCAGCAGAAAGGACACAAGCCTGGTGTTCTGGAGACCTCGGCTCAAGTCTTTGCCCTGCTGCCGACGCATTGTGTCACCTTGGGCAAGGACTTCGCATCTCCAGGCCTCAGTTTCCCCATTAGTTAAATGACAGCATAACACTAGAGAGCAGAGGGCCCATTTCAGCTCTGTTGTTCTGGGATTCAGGCTGGCCGGTGCTGTGTCCTGGAGCTTTATTTGGGGAGTTTCACCCAGAATGGTGGGAGAAACCTCCCAGGTGCCAGGTACCCCGCATCGTGACCCTTCACTTGGTGTCTTAGGAAGTCAAGCTGAGGGATGCTGAGTCCTCCCCTGCTGGCCCCTGCAGCCCCAGCCCTGCTTTTCATCCCCCACCCCTGCAAACATGGAGGAGCCCCCTCCTTCTCACCTCGGTCTCCTAGCCCCTGACATGGAGAACCCTGAGACAAGCCACAGAACCCCTCTTTTCTAAAATGGAGACAATAATTTCCTACCTCCCAAGGGAGCAGAGAGGCCTCGTGGCACGTCCGTGGCCAGGGAGCCCACTGTCCTGGCTGGCGGCGGGATCGTGCGCTCCTCTGTCTCCCGGATGAGAAGCCCCGTTTCCATGGTCTTGACCCTTCCTTTCTCCCGGCTGTCAGAACTGGGTCTCTTGATTTTGCCCCTACATTATGCCTCTGTGGGAAAAAAAAAAAATCAGACCAAGAAATGAGCCTGAAATTCAGTGTTTACCATGGCTCAAGGATGCCCATCTGGTGTCCAGTTGCCTTTTGTATTCAAATGAAAATGCTTTGTACAACTGAGGAGTTACAGTGAAGTGTTAACCAGGGGTCCAGGGAGCGAGTTGAAAAGATGGAGTGAGTGTATTTGCAGCCAGGGAGCTGCAGGGTGGATTTGAGGGGCCATACCCTCTGAGCACTTAAAAAAGGTATTTGCTCCAGGCCAGGCAGCAGGCTGTGGACACCCTTGCCACCACTGGGGACTGCCACTGAGGACTCCCCGAGCACGTTGTTCCCCGTCTTCTCCAAGGTGTTGAGGTGAGCTGGGGTTGGCCCCGGCCCAGGCTTCTGTCCCAAGGAGAAGCTGCCACTGACAGTCATCCTACCGCACTGCTAAAGAGAATGTTCGCAGTGGTGGGCGGCGTGCCTGTGCCAACCCTTCCAGGGACCCGGCCATGGGGGACCTTGGCCCAAGGATGCCTGGGGCCTGCCAGCTGTGCTGCAAAGGTGGGGGGCCCACACCCTAAAACTAACCCAGGCCCCAGACCACTGGAGGCCAGGGCTTCCCTGCACGGGCTAAGGGGAGTTGGGATATCACCCCAAAGTGACCTTGCCAGTGAGCTGTTCAGCAGGTAGCCACTGCCCTGCCATCTGTGCAGAGCCAGCCACCTTGGGGGCTGGGGTTCCCGCTTTGAGGCCCACCTTCCATACTCCCCTTGACTCGGCTCTGGCTGAACTGGGGAACTCTCTTGTGGTCAGCAAAGCCCCTGCCATGCAGGCCAGGTGCCATTGAGAATTAAGTGCTCAGAGGGCCAGGAGCCCAGGGGATGGGAAAGTGTGTGGTTTTAGTACGTTCAAAAGGGACAATCGCTTGCAGTTGGTAGATCTAGCGATCTAGTTGGGAGATAATGGTGTTTACCCCATATGAAGTATTCAATAGTTCTACTTGTGAATTTGTATTTATTTTGAGTTATACTTGACACAGAATTCCTTTTTTAAAAAAATATGTGTGTATTTTGGAAAAAAAATTCATAGATGTTAAAATTTCTGCATGGTTACCAGTTTTTCTCACAACACTGAATTTGGTAGCTTTTCCCGAAAAAATCTTCACAGTAATTTTTTGTCTGTATATATTTGAGGGCCTTTTTTTAAAAAAAAAAAAAGAAAAGAAAAATATAATTGTTTGATTTTTGAGATTAAAACAAACAAAAAGAGAGGCATTTTCAAAATTTCAGAACTTTCAGGAGGGCAAGAGAATATCAAACAAAGATTTCTGGAAGTATTTTGCCAACCTTCTGGTTGAGCTGCAAGAAAATATTTATGGTGAGAACTTTTCTGTTTCCCGTTATTGGGTTTTTGGTTGGTTTTTGTTTGTTTTTTACTATGCTTTGGTCTGTAAAAATATGCAACTGAACTACATTCAGAAGGAAATATTGTCTACATAGAATATTATATGAAGTTGGTACATAATTCTGATGAGGAAAAAAAATCTTTGCAATTCTTTAAGCCATATTGTTGTTTTTCTGTGTTGTTTTCCCTGGATGAAAATATCAGTATTAAGTAGACAGCATATTATTCAAGTGTTTAGACTTATTAATATGTTCTTGTCCTGTATTTATACATATGTGTATTTTGGAAAGTATTGCCTTTTTTAAGGGAAGCTATAATTCGATACATAGTGAAAAAGGGAATGGTGACCCCTTTGTGCCTCTTCCACTGAGGATAACAAACAGCATTGTAATCCATTCTCTTGCACCTTCTTCTTCTTATCTTGTTATTACGGTTTTATTAATTTTGTAGAGGGACAGGGAGTGGGCAAGGGGAAGAAGCAGCTTATTTGACTAACCAGCCCCTCTGTGGTCCACCAGCGTCTTGGCTTGGTGGGAGGGCTCTCAATCAGCAGGGCCCCAGGAGGGAAGAAGAAGTGGGGCAAAGCCTGGCCTCGCCGCTCGGGAGCTTTGCCATCTGAGCCACGCCTCCTCCAGGCCATGCTCCTTGAACTTGGAAATGTCAACCGGAGCCCTTACACCAGCCCTCCAGCATCTAATAGACTTGAATCTACTCTAAACGAATATTTAATCCAACCTCACTACATTGTAGCTCAGTCCAACGACTAACCCTGAAATGGGGGTGTTCCAGCCTTCAGCGAGATGGCCAAGCGGTCCCCTGGGGGCTGTGGCAGCGGGCTTATCCTTCTCTGTTGCCAACCTTGCCGTCCGACCTCCTCCGCCCCCATGCGGTGACCCCGTCCGTGTCTGTGTCTGTCCATACGTGTGAGTCCAGCTAAAAAGACAAAACAGAACCCGTGGGCCCAGCTCGGAAGGTGCGTGGAGAAGGCTCCGACGTCTCCGAAGTGCAGCCCTTGGGATGGCATTCCGTTGTGTGCCTTATTCCTGGAGAATCTGTATACGGCTCGCCTATAGAAATATAGCCTCTTCATGCTGTATTAAAAGGACTTTTAAAAGCAAAAGAGGCTCACAGGTTTCCTTGTTCACGCAAGCATGTAGGGAGGCTGGACTCTTTCAGAGGCAGGAGACGGGGCAGGCATCAGAGAGACTTGGGGCTGGCCTCAGCTCCCCTGGGTCTGGGTCATCTTGTCATTGCCCTGCCTCCATGCCATTGATTTGCCTCCTCCCAGCCTCTCTGCCCCCAACTGTACACTCTCCAGGGCAACGGCCCTCCCCAGGTTGGCCCCAGACTGGGTGAGATTGTCGGCAGATGAGGTCACGCGTTCACTCAGCGGGGGGACTCCCGGGTGACCATATATAGGAGTGAATCTGCCTCAGAGACGGCAGCCCTGGGCCGCTCCCACTTGGCACACTCGGCCAAGATCAGGATATGGGCCCAGACAGGGAGCATCACACAGTGAGCAAACAGATCAGTCCAGGGGAGACGGGGCAGGGGCCCCTCTTCTGACCAAAGCCTGGGCTGTCATGAGGTGGGGCTCCTGCTGAGGGTCATGGGGAACCACAACGAAGCAAGACTATCAGCAGCCACCCACCTGCAAAGCCCAGCATCGGCTCTTGCTGTTCTCAACCTTGCTGCTCACCTGAGTCACCTGCGGGGCTTTAAGAACATCATGCCTTGGTCCCACCCCAGGGAGGCCAAGGAAGTGGTCCAGGGTGTCTGAGTTTGTAAAGCCCCCCAGCTCAGTCCATTGTGCATCCAAAGTTGAGCAGCACTGGACTTCAGATGGTCCCTAGTGTTCCTGTGGGACCCACGGTGATGGGGAGGAGGCAGGGGGCAGAGAGTCCTGTCAAGGGGGCGCCCGGTCCTCAGCTCCAGCCAACTGTTGCTATCTATGAATGTTGTTGCCTGGGGAGGGAGGGAGGGGCAGCAGGAGAAAAACTGGAAATCCCAGTTGTTATGTGAAATTTTCCATGTTTTAAATTTTGGCAACGAGTTAAAGAGTTAACTGGATTTTTGAATAGTGTAGAAGTCAAAGCACATCCCTATGGGCCATCCCACGGCCCCTGACTGTGGCCTCTGAGATGGAGCAGAGAAAACAAAATGCCAGTCCTTGGGGTCAGGGACCATGGATGTGAAGGGGGAGGGAAAGGCAGGAACAGAGGCCACCAAGGCCAGACCTCCTGTCTTATTTGGGGTACAGAGCAAATCCCAGAACAAAGCCCCTTCCTGCTGATTTGCATCTAGAGAATTCCCTGCGCGGTGCCTGCCCTCAGTGTGTGGAATGGCCAGAGTCACTGGCCTGAAAGCAGGTGGCTGCCAGTCGGGCCCAGCAAGGGAGTGGAGAGGGGACCCATCTCCGCCAGGGTGAGAGGAGAATGGACCCCCTCCTCCACACCATGCCCTCTGCCAGCTCAAGTCCTCCAGCAGCCTGGGTGGGGCTATTGCTCTTCTTGGGCAGATCTGAGGAAACAGAGCCGGTGTCTGTCTCAGGGTCCTCCTGTCCCCTTCAGCACTGCCACCAGGCCAGCCCTGCCACCCCAGCTGTGTGACACTGGGTGGCTTTCCCCCTCTCCAAGCCCCAGCTCTCCCCGGGGTGTTGTGTGGATAAGACAACCCACTGAACACAAGACAAAGCGCACTGCTTGCACCCAGGAGGGGCCCGGGGAGTGTGGGTCTCCTGTTCCCACTGTCTGTGGCTCAGGCAGAAGCATCCGACCAGTGATCACACCAGGGATTCCGCAGGGAGCCAGGCCTCGAACCCAGGGCCCCAGGTGCTTTTGCGCACCCAGTAAGCATTGACTGGGCACCCATGCATGTTGAGGCTGGGGCTTCAGGGCTGTTATTTGATGACATGCCCTTGTCTTTGAGTGTGTGGCAGTGTGCATGCGCCTGTGTGTTTGTTTTGTTTTGTTTTCTGTGGAAAGAACACAAACCCAAGGCAAACAGCCTGCATTTCAACATCTCCTGGAGCCGTGGAAACCAGTAACTCCCTGGACAGGAAGGATTTCCGGTTGGACTCAGTGCCCATATCCAGAGGCAGCTGGCTGCTGAGGACCCAGGAGAGAGCAGAGTCCACCAAAGAAATGGCCGGCAAGGGATCCAGAGAGGGTGGCCCTGCTCTGGGCTAAAGCTGAGGCCCCACCGGGAAAGGTCTCACCTAGCACACTCACCCAGCAGGCAGGTGGCAGAGCCAGGATTTGATTGAACTTGGAGTTCTCACCTCCCAGTGCAGCGTATCAGGGCAGAGCTGGGACAGACACAGAGTTGCAAAGGTCAGACCAGGAGTGAGGGTCCAGGGCTGGGTGGTCTCAAAGGGCAAGAGACCAGGCAGGAGGAAGGGAGGTGGGGTAGGTTGGTGCCAAGTGGTGATGGTTGCCAGGTTGTGAGGAGCCCCCTTGGCATCTGCTCCAGACACAGAGAGGGGAGACCTGGCCTGGGGAGAGACAGCGGGAGCTCAACCGCCTGAGCACCAGAGCCCATCGGGAGCCCAGGGCCCCCCCTGGCAGGACCCTGACAAGGCTCTACTTGGAATGTGTGACACAGAGCCTCATGTCCTTATCTGTAAGCTGGGGGCAATCAGGACACACTGAGTGGCAGGAGACACCTGGGCAGCTCCCGCACACAGCCCTGGGGTGGCCACCTCTCTCCCACCAGCCCCCACTGTGGTGCTGAAGCTCCCAGGCTCAGGCTACCAGCCGGCTTCTGCGCTGGACTCCGGCCATAGGCTGGAGTTCCTCCCGGTTTTCTGGCCTCATGCATCCTCCTAACAGTCCTGGCAGAAGCCAGGGCAGAGAACAACATGTCAGTATGTCGGGTGCATAAACTGAGGCCTGGGGAAGCCCTGCTGCCCCAGATTGACAAGCAGGGACCTCCACCACACCCTTCAACCTCCACTGTCTGCGCTGTTTCCGATCCTGACCAGGGCCACCGAGCGGATTCCCACCAGCCTGTCCAGTCCTTCCTTCAGCAAACAGCTGTCTGTCAGTGTGTCCTGGGACCTGGCCCAGAGCTCTGAGCTAAGCCTGGGACCCATAGTCTGCTGGGGAGTCAAGCCCCCACCTGCCCTCCTCAGAGACCCTGGTCCTCCTCCCTACAGCCTGGTAAACCCAGGGCTAGGCATCTGAATGCCACCCTTCCAGGGGCTGCCTCCTGTGCAGCCTGTGCCCGGCTCCTGCCCAGGTGTTTGGAAGTGGGGAGAAGGGGCAGGGAATACCCCAGATGAAGGGAATGAGGGCCGAGGTGGGCTTGCCATCTCTCCAAAGTCAGGTGTCCTTGCTACTCCCCCAGAGAACTGGAGGGAGCCAAGAACGGGCTGCGCTTGGGTATAAAGGCCACTCTCGACACTTTCCCTGCCGTTTGTTCTGAGGCTGGATCCCAACTGAGATGTCAGGGCCACTTGCTTCCCCCTGCCCACACACACACGCATCCTCACACATCTCACACGCGCACCTTCGCACATCTCACACACACACTCACACATCTCACACCCACACCCTCACACATCTCACACACACACATCTCACACGGGCACCCTCACACATCTCACACGCACACACACATCTCACACGCACCCACACACATTTCATGCGCACACTCACACATCCACACGTACATTCACACACATCTCACACGTGCACCCATACATCTCACACGCTCACTCACATCCCATACACATCACACATGCACCCACACACATCTCACACGTGCACTCACACATCTCATATGTGCACACCCACACAGCTCACACGTGCACCCTCACATCTCACAGTGCACTCACATCTCACATGCTCACACACCTCACACGCATCCTCGCACATCTCACACACACACCCACACACATCTCACACACGCACCCACACATCTCACACGTGCACTCACATCTCTCACACACATCTCACACACCCACACATCTCGCACATGCACTCACACATCTCACACGTGCTCCCTCACACATCTTACACATGCATTCACATCTCATACACACATCTCACACACCCACACATCTCGCACGTGCACCCACACATCTCACATGCGCACTCACACATCTCACACGTGCACCCACAAATCTCACACGTGCACTCACACATCTCACACACGCACCCACACCGCACACGTGCACCCTCACACATCTCACACACCCACATCTCACACATGCACCCTCACATCTCACACGTGAATCCTCACACATCTCACATGTGCACCCTCACATCTCACATGCGCACTCACATCTCACACGCACACTCACATATCAC
Organism: Homo sapiens; assembly: GCF_000001405.40. Lineage (NCBI taxonomy): Eukaryota > Metazoa > Chordata > Mammalia > Primates > Hominidae > Homo > Homo sapiens. The sequence goes on along the minus strand of NC_000010.11, from coordinate 79,378,132 downwards.
ACGTGTACCCACAAATCTCACACACGCACCCACAAATCTCACACGTGCACTCACATCTCACACGCGCACCCACACGTCTCACACGTGCACCCTCACACATCTCACATGCGCACCCTCACACATCTCCCGTGTGCACCTTCACACATCTCACACACAGACCCTCATCTCACACGTGCACCCTCACACATCTCACATTCGCACCCTCAAATGTCACACGCGCACTCACACACATCTCACACGCGCACTCATACACAACTCACGCACCCACATACATATCTCACATGTGCACCCTCACACATCTCACACATGCACCCTCTTACATCTCACACGTGCACCCACACATCACACACGCACCCTCACATCTCACACACGCATGCACACATCTCACACGCACCCTCACACAACTCACATGCGCACTCACATCTCACATGCGCACCCACACACATCTCACACGTGTACCCTCACACATCTCACATGTGCACTCACTTCTCACACGTGCACTCATATCTCACATGCACACCCACACACCTCACACGCACACCCTCACACATCTCACACATGCATCCTCACACCTCATATGCACACCCACACACCTCACATGTGCACTCACACCTCACATGCACACCCTCACACATCTCATGTGCACACACCTCACACACGCACTCACATCTCCCACATGCACACACACATCTTGCAGTGCACTCACACACATCTCACATGCACACCCTCACACATCTCACGTGCACACACATCTCACACACGCACTCACATCTCACACCTGCACTCACACATCTCACACCCACACACATGTGCACACACATCTCACACATGCACTCACACATCTCACACGTGCACACACATCTCACACATGCACTCACAAATCTCACACACGCACTTACATCTCACACGTACACACACATCTCACACACACATCTCACACAGGCACTCACATCTCACACGTGCACTCACACATGCACACACAATCTCACACCCACACACACATCTCACACACGCACTCACATGCATCTCACACATGCACTCATACACATCTCACACTGTTGACACCCTCACATACACACCCATTTGCACACTCAAGCCTGCACATATTCATACATGCACAGCCCACAAACACACACAGCCACAGACCATCAGGAGTCCCATGGGGGCAGCGGGCCTGGGGCCCCTCTCCAGCTGGAAGGGCACTGCAGTAGGGTGGGGATCCTGCCCAGCAGGGTAACGAATGTCACGTGAATCTGCTCATCTCCTTCCCCACAGGCCCTGAGGCCTTCCCATGGGCTGAGGACCCCAGGTAGGCAGGCAATGTCACACCCAGGCCTTGCACACAGTGAGCAAAAGTCCATTCTCACAGTTGACGCAGTTGAGAGAATCTGCATTTTGTTCGGTGTCATAATGGCATTGGGATCATGTAAAAAATGTTCTGTCTTAAATTTTGGAGAATTTACGGGTGAAATGAGGCAGTGTCTGGGCTTTGCTCTTAAACAATCTGGAATAGGGTCCGGAGGAGAACCTGGGATCTGCTGTACTGCTCTCTCTGATTTGTGTCTGTTTTTGCTCCTGGCCAGGAGGTGAGCTTAAAGGTGAGCCAGGCCGAGGAGATGCCCCAAGGCAGAGTGGGAGCCGGGTCCCTCCACATCTTCACCCCACGCAGCATGCTCCACAGTCCTGACTACCTCCTCTAGAGGGGCTACTTGGGCTTGCTTCACTGCCGACCTCCAGTGCTCACTGTGGCCTGGCACACGGTCAGGTTCAATGTGGAGTAAACGAGCGTGTAAGAGTCGCTGCCAACATCCAGCCAGGAGCTGGTATGGCAGCCATGGTGCTAGTGATTCACACACATCAGTTTTGGTCCTTGTAACAGCCCTGGGAGGTGGGTACTATAAGGATTCCCATTTTACAGATGGGGAAGCCGAGGTTCAGAGAGGTCAAGTGACTTGTCCAAGATCATAGAGGTAGCAAGTAGCAAAGTCCCCCCCCGACCCCTCCCAGAACCTCTCCCCCTCCACTCCCTAACACCAGGGGCATTTCAGGCCCAGGCCTAACCCCTGCCTCCTGCTGCTTCCTGCTGTTATACTGCCCTCCCAGACAGCCAGGCAGCCACCAGCCTTCTCTTAGCCCTCTCTGTCTGTCCTGGGCCTCTCCTCACTGCCCAACCTGGCCTGCCTACCTCCCTGTAGTAGCTGAGTCATGATCCATCTAGGGCCGGCCCCATGGTTGTTGAAGGCCTATGTGGAAGCCAGAACCCAGGGGAGCCCCAGCCCTCCCTCCACCTCCTTCCTTACTAAGTTCTCAGGAGCTCCTGGGGGTGGGGGCAGCTCTGCTCCTGTTCCCACTGTGTCCAGCGTGATCGAGCCAGGCCAGGCCCCTGTGCCGTCTCTCCCTGGACACTTGCTCCTCCTTCCCTTCCATGCCTGGCCCTACAGCCTCCTGGAGCCCTGTACTGAGGCCAGTTACCCTCCCCATGCCCCATCCCAGAAGCACTCAAAGCTGGGAGCTGAGATTCCCCTCTACCATCTTCTCAACAACCCCCATCCTCTCCCTGGTCACTAGCAGGGGCCCCACAACCCTCCACACTCAGCTCCTGCAGATGGTGGGGCAACCCGGGGTCCAAGTCCTGCCTTGTAAGTCCAGGACCATGGTGCCTGCCTGGAACTCCATCTCCCTCTGCACTCTTATCCTGGGCAAGAACTCTGGGGCCAGAGGGGCTGGACCCTGAGTGACAACATCACTACTTATCAGCCGCCATCTTAAGCAAGCCACCTTCCCTCTCTGAGTCTCAGTTTCCTCCCTTGTAAAATGGAGATACTAATACCCTTCTACCTACCCGAGGTCACCGTTGAGATTAGTTGAGATACAATGGCTAAGCCCTTGGCACATGAGGTGTGCTCAGGAATTGTTAACTACTGCTCTGGTCATGGAGGGTTATGGCCACTTCAGCCTGTGCTACCTCTAAATGGGCCCCATGATTCCCTCTGTCTCTGCCTCCACTTGTTAGCCCTTGAGCCATGCTTTCTGGAACCTTCACCCTGACAAGATGACAAAGAGAAGCCCCAGGGAGGGACTTGGGTTTCTTGACTCTCTCTGGCCTGTGGGACATTCATCTCCCCTCCCCAGGCAGCCACAGCCTATTAGTCCAGTTCCAACTGGCCTTCTGCCTCAGTTTCCCCATTGTGCTGAGGCAAAGGACCCTTGCTCAGCATGTAATTGGTCATCCTCTCCCTGGGAACCTGACCACAGCCCCGCACAATGGTGGAGGCTGCTTCAAACTGGGTCTGCCTGCCCCACCCCAACAAACTTGCCAGCTCAGAATTCTCCAGCGTTCCAGCCTCTCGCAGCAATCAGCTGGTTCCCTGCTGCCCTCTGGTGGCCGAAGCTGAAAACTGCAACTTCCAGGTGGCAGGGAACCAGTGCAGGGGACAAAAGGGAATTTTTTTTTTTCTCCCAAGTCCCAGGTAAACCCTGACCTCCCCAGTACAGGGATACCTGGGCCTCATGCACCTGCCAAGTGGCAAGATTGTGTTTTTCGCCCTTGGTTATAAAAACAATGCCTGCACAATGTGAAATGGAAACAAAGACAGTAAGCAGAGTGTGGGCTACTCCCAGTAGCCCAACATCCCCCAGACCAGCACTGTCCAGAGTTTGGCCATATCCTTCCATAGTCTTTTGCTTATAGAAATCTGTGTGTGTGTGTGCGTGTGTGTGTGTGTATGTGTGTGTGTACACGTGTATGTTAATGGATTATACTTGACAGGCTGTTCCATATCCTGCTTCAACTCATCATCATCATCTTTCCCTGTTAACAGAGAGACCTTTCTCATTTGTCTAATAGCTGTATTCCTTTGTTGGTTAACATACTTATCAATTCCCTGTTGAAGGGTCTGAAGCATTCTTGGTTTTACAAGTCAATCTTTTTTCTTTTCTTCTTTATGAGACAGAGTCTCACTCTGTTGCCCAGGCTGGGGTGCACATGTGGCACAATCTTTACCACAGCTCATGGCAGCCTCAACCTCCTGAGCTCAAGCAATCCTACCTCCTCAGCCTCTGGAATAGCTGGGACTACAGGCACACACTACTATGCTGAGCTAATTTCTGTATTTTTTGTAGAGGCAGGGTTTCACTGTGTTGCCCAGGCGAGTCCTGAACTCCTGGAATTAAGTGATCCTCTTGCCTGGGCCTCCCAAAGTGCTGGGATTACAGGCATGAGCCACTGTGCCTGACCAATCTTTTTTCTTAATCACCTTTCTGTTTGGTACAGTGGGAAGATCTGGAGTCAGGAGAGCCAGGGTTTGACTCAGATCTCAGGCCACTGGGTTTAAAATTTTTTTTATTTTTAAATGACTCTTAACGATGCATATTTATGGGACACAGTATGATGTTTTGATACATGCGTACATTGCGTAATGATCAAATCAGGGTGATAAGCTTATTCATCACCTCAAACATTTATCATTTCTTTGTAGTGAGAACACTGAAAACCCTCTCTTCCAGTTATTTTGAAATATGCAATACAATGTCCTTAGCTACAGTCATGCTACTGTGCAAGAAAAGACCAGAACTGATTCCTCCTATCTAACTGTAATTTGGTACCTGTTGGCCAATCTCCCCCATCCCGCCTTCCTTCCCCAGCACATAGTAACCACTATTATACTCTCTACTTCTATGACATCAGCTTTTTAAAGTCCGCAAATGAGTGAGATCATGTGGCATTTGTCTTTCTATTTTTTCTATTTGTCTTCCTATTCTTGTTATCTTTGATCACATCCTTGTGATCTTCCAGGCCTCAGTCCCAATGTATCAAACTCAGGCATTGGGCTCCATCTCGAATCCTTCGCTCTGACAAGCTCCCAAGTCGATTATTCCATGTTGAGTTGATAGAGCCTACAGGCTGCCCTGGGGTCATCAATACAATTTATTAGGCTAGTGCTAGAAAGGGGCATGGGGGACCACACAGCTCTCTTGGGCATGGGGTCCAGTAAGCACTTGCACAATTGTGGGGAGGAACAGTCTGAGATTCTCCTGCTTAGACCTGGGAGGGCCTGGTCGGGGAGACTGAAACTGAGAAGAAGGCTGAGGCCAGACCCGCCTTCCTCCTCTGGCGCTCTCTGAGGGCACCTGGCCTGGCTGCTTTCTCTTGGGAGGGGAATGTGGGTATCCCACCACACTTCAGGCTGGAGTTCTTAGAGCCTGTTCTGGTTCCAAAAACTGTCTGATCCATGAATCACTCTTTGCTCAATTAAACTGTTAAATTTAACTTGTCTAAGGTTATTCCTTTTAATAGATTCAACTTGAAACATAAAGATACAAATAACTTAAAAGTAAAAAAGTGAAGAGTTCCACTTCTTGGAGGCAATGTGAAGAGTTCCATGAGCCCACTTGCCTGTGAAACAAGCAATGTTGGTGAAAACTGCTTTTTAAAAATTAACCTTTAAAGTCTCTGGAAATTGTCCTAAGGATATAGAGCAAATGAAGAAAGTCAGGCTCCCACTCTGCCTTGGGGCATCTCCTCGGCCTGGCTCACCTTTGAGCTCATCTCCCGGCCAGGAGCAAAAGCAGCCCTTGACCATAACAGTAATCATGACTATAAAGATAGTATGTGGGGACGTCACTAAAACTAACTCAATAAGAACAGCAGGTCTATGGCATTTGACACATAACTATTCCCTTTTCCTTCACCTTCAGCTCAGCTTAATGGAATCTTCTCATAAGGTGAGGGTGGCCAAAAAGACAAGGCTCCCTCTCCCCTCACTTCCCAATCAAGTATTTTCACATATTAGTGGGAGAGGCAGACCAATAACATTTTGCCCATCTCTCCCAACTCCAAGTTAAAGAAGCTAAATTCTGGATGAGTGCAGCTGAGAAGTGGGGGGTTTCTTTCTACACCCAGCCCTAACCCATAGAATAGTGGCTCCATCCCAGATTCAGAAGGCCAAAAACACTGGGACCCCAAATCTTGCTCCAGCTCACTCATAGAGCACAGGTTCTATGCTAGGAGAGGAAAGCCAAGAATATCAGAGGCTACCACCCTGCCCAGTCCCCAGAATACTGGCTCATCAGAAAGAGAAACAATCCATAAGAGAAAGATATCCAAATCTCTCCACAAAGGAACTTTTATTTTATTTTATTTTTGAAATAGTGTGTGGAAGCCTAAAGTGCTTTTGAAAACAAAAAATAAATTGGACTTCATCCAAATTTAAAATTTTTGTGCTTCAAGGGACACCATCAAGACAGTGAAGAAACACCCTACATAATGAGAGAATGTATATGAAAATCACATATCTGATAAGGAACTTGTATTTAGAATATATAAAGAGTTCTGGCAACTCAAAAGTACAAACACAAATAGCCCAGTTAAAAAAGTCAAAGGATCTGAACAGACTCATCTCCAAGGAAAATATACAACTGACCAATAAGTACATGAGAAGATGCTCAACCTCATTAATCATCAGAGAAATGCAAGTCAGAAATAAATGAAGTAGCACTTCACACTCACTAGGATGGCAAGAATAAAAAAAGATAATATCAAGTGTTGATGAGGATGTGGAGAAACTGGAACCCTCATACATTGTTGGTGGAAATGTAAAGTGTCACAGCCATTTTGGAAAACAGTTTGGCAATTCCTAAAAAAGTTAAACCTAATCATTTGATTCAGCAATATATACATAATACGTAAGGTGGTATAATACTATTTGCAGTTAGTCTTTGATAAGTTAAACAATATATAGTAAATCCTAGGGAAACCACTAAAAATATAGACTGAATAATTAGGCTGAGCATGGTGGCTCACATTTGTAATTCCAACACTTTGAGAGGCTAAGGCAAGAGGATTTCTTCAGGCTAGAAGTTCAAGATGGCAGTGAACTATGATTGTGCTACTGCCTGGGTTACAGAGTGAGACCCCAGCTCTTAAATATATATTTATATATATAACATATATTTATATATATAAATATATATTATATATATGTATATATAGCTGTGACATTTTACATTTCCACCAACAATGTATGAGGGTTCGTTTCTCCACATCCTCATCAACACTTGTCATTTTATACATATATATAAACAAATAGCCAATAATGGTGATAAAAATGAAATCAATTTGGAGAAAAACCTCAATCCAAAAAAAGGCAAGCAGAGAACAAAAGGCAGATGGGACAAACAAAATAAATAGCAAGATGGTTGGTTTAAATTTAACTATATTGAGAATTACATTAAATATAAGTGATAAACATTTAATTGAATGGCAGAGATTGTCAGATTTGATAAGAAAGCAATGCTCAATGCACCATTATCAGTCCATTGTCTCTTAGTTCTAAGTCCTCCCTACATTGTCCTGTTTGTAATACTGTAACTGTTCTCCCTTGCCATCTGGAATTATATGAAGCTTTATCAGTACAGGGCACTGGAGAAATACTTTAGTCTTTTTTTTTTTTAAATAGTATGTATTGATCATTCTTGGGTGTTTCTCGGAGAGGGGGATGTGGCAGGGTCATAGTACTTTAGTCTTCAGTATTCTCTTTTTCCTTTAGTTGGTAAACTCCTGTTATAATTAATAATTTTTTTTACATATTCCCTGTTAAAACTACTGTGTTGTTTCTGTCTCCTGTTTGGACTCTGACTATATGGAATTGATACCAGAAGTGGTCCCAGAAGATAACCCCACCAAGATAAGATTTGGAGATGCATTTTGCTGTGCTTTTGGACTCCAACATGTCTACCAGTGGGAAATGGTATGTTAGTAATCCATGGCATGCAGTGACATCACAATTAATTATGCTGTCACCTGTAATTAAGTGACAAGAGAAGCATGTGCCTTGGGAGACCAGGTGACAGCAGCACTTGACCATTACAGTAGTAATCATGACCATAAAGACTGGGATGTGGGGAAAATTCTTTTGAGGACGCTTGATTGCTTACCAAAAGAAAATTTAGAACTTGTGTTCTTTAATTCTTGGCATAAACCAGAGAACCAGAAAGTTTCTGGTTATATTACAGCCTGAGAACCAGAAAGCTTCCATGATAACTCTAAAAGATTATCTTATTTCTTGTAGGCACTAGGCTAATAGCACTTAAAATCAAACAAAAATTTTACCACATAGGTTGCTAAATTACAACATCATTTCAATTCACAGTTTCACCAAGTTTTTCACAAAGTTTTTCATGTGAAAGGGCATTGATGAAAAACAATGAGATCCCAGGCCGGGTGCAGTGGCTCATGCCTGTAATCCCAGCACTTTGGAAGGCCGAGGCGGGTGGATTACCTGAGGTCAGGAGTTTGAGACCAGCCTGGCCAACATGGTGAAACCCCTGTCTCTACTATAAATACAAAATTAGCCAGGCATGCTGATGTGTGCCTGTAATCCCAGCTACTCAGGAGGCTGAGGCAGGAGAATTACTTGAGCCTGGGAGGCAGAGGTTGTTGCAGTGAGCTGAGATCATACCATTGCACTCCAGTCTGAGCAAAAAGAGTGAAACTCCATCTGAAAAAATGAACAAACAAACAAACAAACAGAAAATACAAAAAGAATGAGATCCCAGCCTGGACAACATAGTGAGACCTCTTCCCTACTAAACAAAAATAAAATAAAATAAAATATAAAATAAAATTTATTTAGCCAGGCATGGTGGTGCATAACTGTAGTCCCAGGTACTCGAGAGGCTGAGGCAGGAGGATCACTTGAGCCCAGGAAGTCAAGGTTGCAGTGACTTGACTTGATTATGCCACCACCCTCCAGCCTGAGCAAGAGAGTGAGACTTTGTCTCAAATGAGATCCTGAAATTTGGAATGGAGTCGCCTGATTGGATCAAAATGAAACCAACAACTTGAACCCTCAAGCTACTCTGTTTCTTCCTTACCAATGGAATTAGCTTGCTCTCCTGTGTCTGAGGAAAAGACACTTCTTTGCTTAAAAGCACTGTGATAACCTCATAAGGTTTGAAAGGGGATGCTCAAGGCCTGCTACAATCACTCCCCAGACCCATAATAGGTGTCGAATCTCAGCATTTTCCAGAGGAACAGCAGGATTCCAGAGGAAACAGCTTACACACCCAAAGAATTGTGAGACTTTGCTAATATAGATGCTCCTCAACTTGTGATGGGGTTACATCCTGATAAGCCCAATGTAAATTGAAAATGTCATAAGTTGAGAATGCATTTAATACCCCTAACCTACCAAACATCAGAGTTTAGCCTGGCCTACCTTAAATGTGCTCAGAACATTTACATTAGCCCACAGTTGGGCAAAATCATCTAACACAAATCCTTTCTTATAAGAAAGTGCTGAATATTTCATGTGATTTATGGAATACTGTACCAAAAGTAAAAACAGAATAGTCCTATGGGTACTCAAAGTACAGTTTCTACTGAATGCATATTGTAAAGCTGAAAAAACTGTAAGTTGAACCATCATAAGTCAGGGACTGTCTATACATATTTTTAAACAGATTTACTGAGATATAGTTCACACACTATACAATTTACCCATGAAAATGTTGATAGTATATTCACAGATATATGCAACAATCACAAAAGTCAATTTTAGAACATTTTTATCATCCCATAAAGAACCCTTGTAACTTCAGCCAACATGCATTGATACCCTGCCCCATCTACTCTCTTCAACCCTAAACAACCACTAATCTATTTTCCATCTCTATGGATTTATCTATTCTGGGCACGTCATATGGAATCATATACTATGTTGTCTTTTGTGACTGACTTCTTTCACATAGTATAATGTTTTCAAGATTCATCCAGGTTGTAGCAGGTATCAGTACTTCATTTCTTTTTATAACCAAATACTATTTCATTGTATGGCTATGCCACATTTTCTTTATCCATTTGCCCATGGATGGACATTTGGGTTGTTTCTACCTTTTGACCGTTATGAATAACGCTGCTATAAAAGTTTGTGTACAGGTTTTTCTATGGATGCGTTTTCATTTCTCTTGGGTGCATACCTAGGAATGGTATTGCTGGGTCATAGGATAACTCTATCTTTAATCATCTCAGAAACTGCCAGGCAGTTTTCCAAAGCAGTTGGACCATTTTGTATCCCACAGCAATGCTCGAGAGTTTCAAATTCTCCACATCTTTGCAAACATTTACTATTATCTGACTTTTTAATCTAACCACCCTAGCGGGTATAAAGCGGTATCTCATTGTGGGTTTGATTTGTGTTTCCCTGGTGACTAATGAGGTTGAGCATCTTCTCATGTGCTTATTGGCCAATCGTACATCTTCTTTGGAGAAATGTCTGTTCAAATCTTTTGCATGTTTTAAAATTGGGATATTTGTCTTTTTATCATGGAGTTGTCAGAGCTCTTCATATATTCTAAAAACAAGTCCCTTATCTGATATATGATTTGCAAATATTTTCTTCCATTGTGTGGGAGAACCACAAAAGTTTTAAATTTTGATGAAGTCTTAATCTATCTTTTTCTATTTTTGTTCCCTTCTGTTGCTCATGCTTTGTTTTCATATCTATGAATCATTTGGCAAATCTGAAAGACTGGATGCTTTCCTCTTAAGATCAGGAATAAGACACGATGTTTGCACATGTCACAAAAATTTATCCCTATATTTTCTTTAAAAAGTTATCTAGTTATGCCCTTATGTTTAGGTCTTTCATCCATTTTTGTTGTTGTTGTTTTTGTTATTTTAGAGAGGGTCTCACTCTGTGGCCCAAGCTGAGGTGCAGTGGTGCCATCATGGCTCAGTACAGCCTCAAAATGCTGGGCTCAAGTGATCCTCCCGCCTCAGTCTCCTGAGTAGCTGGTACTATAGGTGTGCCACTACAACTGGCTACGTTTTAATTTGTTTGTAGAGATGGGGGTCTTGCTTTATTTGGGGGGTTTAGGCTTCTTTGATCATTTTGAGTTAATTTTTGTTTATGATGTGAGGTAAGGGTTGAGATTTATACTTTTCTATGTGATTATCCAGTTGTCCCAGCACCACTTGTTAAGATTATTCTTTTCCCACTGAATGCTCTTGGCATCTTTGTTGAAAATCAGTTGACCATAGATGTATGAGTTTATTTCTGTAATCTCAATTCTACTCATATCTATCCTTCTGCCAATACCACACTGTCTTTATTATCATTGCTTTCATAAGTTTTGAAATCAGGAAGTGTGAGTACTCCTATTTTATTATTGTTTTTGGGGATTGTTTAAGTCAGTCTGGACCCCTTATAATTTTGTATGAATTTTAGAATCAGCTTGTCAATTTGTATAAGGAAGTCATCTGAGACTCTGATAAGGGTTACATTGAATCTGTAGATAAATTTGAGGAGTACTGCCATCTTAACTATATTAAGTTTTCCAATCCATGAATATGGAATGTTTTTTCATTTGTTTAGATCTTCTTTATTTTTTTCAACCATGTTTTGTAGTTTTCAGAATATGTTTTGCACTTTTGTTGTTAAATTTATTCCTAAGTATTCTATTGTGGATAGAATTATCTTAATTCCATTTTTGGATTTATCATTGCAAATGTATAAAAATACAACTGATTTTTTTGTATGTTGAGCTTATATCCTGCAATTGTGATACAATTTTTTATGAGTTGTAATAATTTGTAGTGGATTCCTTAAGCTTTTCTATGTAAAATATTATGTAATCTGACAGTAGAGACAGTTTTATTTCTTCCTTTATGAACCAGATGCTTCTTTGTTTTTCCTAATTGCCCCAACTACAGACTCCAGTACAATTCTGAACAGAAGTTCCAAAAGCAAGCTGGGTGCAGTGGCTCACAGCTATAATCCCAACACTCTGAGAAGCCAAGGGGATAGACCGCTTGAGTCCGGGAGTTTCAGACCAGCCTGGGCAACATGGCGAAACCCCATCTCTACCAAAAACAAAAACAAAAAACTAGCCAGGTGTGGTGGTGTGTGCTTGTGGTCCCAGCTACTCAGGAGGCTGAGGTGGGATGATCACCTTAGCCTGGAAGGTCAAGCTTCAGGGAGCCGTGATTGCAGCACTGCACTCCAGCTCTGCACTCACTCTAGCCTGAGCAACACAGTAAGACCCTGTGTCAAAAAAAAAAAAAAGTTCCGAAAGCAAAAGCAAATATCATGTCTTACTTCTGATCTTAAGGGGAAAGCATTCAGTCTTTCACCATTAAATATGATGTTAGCTCTAGGTTTGTCATGGATGTCCTTTACATATTGAGAAAGATTCCTTCTATTACTAGCTCATTCAGTGGTTTTTTTTTTTAATAATGAAAGGGTTTTGGATTTTGTTGAATGCTTCTTCTGCATCTATTAAGATAATCATGTAATTTTTGTTTTTATTCTATTGAAATTATATTATATGCTATTATATATTATGTAATTATAATATATATTATATTAATAGATTTTCAGATGTTAAACCAACCTTACACCCTTGGGATAAATCACACTTGGTCAAGATGTATAATTCATTTTATATGTTGCTGTATTCATTTGCTAGTATTTTGTTGGGGATTTTTGTGGCCATATTCATAAGCGATATTGGTCCATAGTTTTCTTCTCTTGTGATGTCTTTGGTTTTGACATCAGGGTAATACTGGCCTCATAGAATAACAGGGAAACTGTTCCCTTCTCTTCTATTTTTTGGAAGAGTTTGTAAAAAATTGGTATTAATTCTTCTTTGAGTGATAGGTAGAATGCAGCCCAGAGGCCATCTGGACCTAGGCTTTTCTTTGCAGGTAGATTTTGATTACTGCTTTAGTCTCTTCACTTACTAGCGGTCTATTCAGCTTATATATTTTTGAAGTCTGTGTCTTTCTAGGAATTTGTGCATTTCATGTAAGTTACCTAATTTGTTGCAATATAATTGTTCATACTAGTCCTCTTTAATCCTTTTTCTTTCTGAAAGGCTGGTAATAATATTCCCTCTTTAATTTATAATTCAACTAAGTTGAGTCTTCTCTCTTTTTTCTTCATCAAACTGACTAAAGGTTTGTCAATTTTGTTGATCTTTCTATGAAAAGCTGGCTTTTGGATCATTGATTTTTCTCCACAGCTTTTCTCATCTCTATTTTATTAATTTCTGCCTTAATATTTATTTCCTTCCTTTTTCTTGCTCTGGGTTTATTTTGTCTTCTTTTCCCAGTGTTTTAAGATGAAAGATTAGGTTACTCATTCGAAACCTTTATTCTTCATTAATGTAGGCATTTCCAGTTATAAGTTTTCCTCTAATCACTGCTTTAGCTGCATCCCAGAAGATCTGTGTTGTTTAATTGTTAATGTCTACTTATTTATGAGTTCCCTCAAATTTTCCCTGCAATTGACTTTTAATTTCATTCCATTGTGCTTGGAAAACATGCGTCACATTATTCCTGTCCTTTAAATGTACAGAGGTTTGTTTATAGTCTAGCCAGATGGCCTGCCCTAGAGAAGGTTCTACGTGTGCTTGAGAAGAAGGTACCCTTTGTTGTTGTTAGGCAGAGGGTTCTATTGATGTCTGCTAGTTCTGGTTCATGTACAGTTTTGTTCTAGTCCTCTTTCCCTGTTAATCTTCTGTGTAGTTGTTCTATTCATTATTGAAGTCTCTATTATTGTTAAATTGTTATTTCTCCCTTTATTTCTGTCAGGTTGTGCTTCGGGTACTTTGGTATTCTTTTATGGGGCACATATATGTATCTAATTGTTATATCTCTCCAATGAATTCACCATTATACAATGTCCCTCTTTATCTCCAGTAACATTTGTTTGGTTTTGTTTTTAAATAGAGACAAGTTTTCACTATGTTGTCTAGGCTGGTCTTGAACTCCTGGTTTCAAGTGATTCTCCCACCTCAGCCTCCCAAAGTGCTGGGATTACAAGTGTGAGCCACCATGCCTCCAGTAACATTTGTTGTTTTAAATTATATTTTGTTTGATATTATTGTAGCCACTTTAGCTTTCATGTGGTTGCTGTTATATAAGCTAATGTGTCTTTCTCCATCCTTTTACTTTCAGTCTATTTCTGTATGTATTTAAAAGCTTGTCTCCTATAGACACCATATAGTTGGATCTGGTTTTTTTAATGCGGTCTAGCTCAGTCTTTTGATCAGATTGCTTAATCAATTTATATTTCATGTCGTCATTAGCATATTTGGATTTGCATCTGCCAACTTACCTTTTGTTTTTCTTGTGTCTCATGTCATTTTTGTTCCTCTATTTCTTCTTTAATATTGTCTTTTGCATCAAGTGAATATTTTCCAATATAGTATTGAAATTTTCATTAATTAAATGTGATTTTTTTCATTATATTTTTTGAGGGTTTTTTTTAGTAGTTTCTCTAGGGTTTACCATATATGTCTTAATAGAATAAGCTTTAATTGCAATATTTAGACTATTTACATGTAATGTTATTATAATATGTTTGAATTTTAAATTGTCATCCAAATACTATCCATTTGTGTTTTGTTCCTTTCATCTCTCTTTCTACCTATGAATGTGTTAACTTACATAGCAAAAGGAACTTTGCAGAGGTAATTAAGTTAAGAATTTTAATATGGGAAGATTATCTGGATTACCCAATGGGTCCAATGTAATCACAAGGGTACTGAAAAGTGCAGGAGGAATGTAGGAGAGTGAGAGTCAGAGAAGAAGATGATACAGAAGCAGAGATTCAGGTGATGATGCTATGTTGGCTTTGAAGATGGAGGAAGAAGCCACAAGCCGAGGAATACAGGCAACCTCTAGAAGCAGTTAGAAAAGGCAAGGAATGTTCTCTCCCCTAGAGCCTCCAAAATAATGCAACCTACCAGCATCTTGACTTTAGCCCAGTGAAACCCATTTCAGACTTAAATCTGTGGGTTTTTTGTTGTTCTTGTTTGTTTGTTTGTTTGTTTGTTTTTGAGACAGAGTCTCACTCTGTCGCCCAGGCTGGAGTGCAGTGGTGTAATCTCGGCTCACTGCAACCTCCACCTCCTGGGTTCAAGCAATTCTGTGCCTCAGCTTCTCAGGTAGCTGGGATTACAAGCGCCCACCACTACTCCCGGCTAATTGTTGTATTTTTAGTAGAGATGGGGTTTCACCATCTTGGCCAGGCAGGTCTTGAACCCCTGACCTCGTGTTCCACCGGCCTCGGCCTCCCAAAGTGCTGGGATTACAGGCATGAGCCACCACGCCCAGCCAATTTGTATTGTCTTAAGCAAGTATGTTTATGGTAATTTGTGACAGCAGCCATGGGAAACTAATGTAAATAGATCTCTTTTAAGAAGTGAGTGGTTGTTTTCATGTTTACAACATATGTCATTAATTTATCACAGTCTACATTCAAATAATATACAACTTCAACTATAGCGTAAGAATCTTACAACAGTTTACTTCTGATTTCTTCCTCTCATTCCTTGTGCAATTTTAGCATGCATTTTACTTTTACACATACTAAAATTCTGTGATAGACTTTGAAACAAAGGTTAAAGTATGATTTTTTTTGTTTTAATTTTACTCTAAGTTCTGGGATACATGTGCAGAACTTGCAGGTTTGTTACATAGGTATACATATGCCATGGTGGTTTGCTGCACCCATCAACCCGTCACCTAGGTTTTAAAAGCCCCATTTGCATTAGGTATTTGTCCTCATTAAAGCAGGATTATTTTTAAAGATAATCTTTTTAAGTCAAATTACATTTAAAATAATGAAAGAAAGTGCTTTTATATACTTAATTTTTTTACCATTTCCAGAATTTCTTCATTTCTTTGTGTAGATCCAAGCTGCTGTTTGGTATCATACTTCTTCCTGAAGAACTTCTTCTAACCTTGCTTGTATCATGGGTCTGCTGACAGTGAATTTGTTCTGCCTTTGTTGTCAGAAAGGATTTTTGCTTTTGTTTTCTGCTTTTATTTTTGAAGGGTATTTTCCCTGGCCGTAGAATTGTGAATAGATGGGTTATTTTTTCTCCCACTCAGTACTTTAAAGTCTCAATCCATGATGTGTTCATTTCCCTTTCACATGGCATGCCTGAATCGAAACATCTTATGTACCTCATAAGTATACACCTACTAAGTACCCACAAAAATTAAAAATAAAAATTAACTTGTCAATTCATTGTTTTTAACTTGCATAATTTCTAATGAGAAGTCTGCTATCATTTTTATCTTTGTTCCTCTGTAATTCACGGTTTTGGTGTGTGTGTGTTGTGGGAGATTGCCTTAGAGATTTTCTTGTTTTCTTTGGTTTTCATAGTTTGATGCTAAGCCACTCTGGTGTGTGTGTGTGCGTGTGTGTGTGTGTGGTCTTTCCTGCTTGAGGTTCTCAGAATTTCTTGTATCTGTGGTTTGATATGTCTCAATAATTCTGGAAAAATGTTACCACTTATTTCTTTAAATACTTATTCTTCTGCATTCATTTCTTTTCTCATTCTGGGGCTAAAATGACACCTCTGCTAGGCATTTTGATATTATCCCATAGTTCTTTGATGCTCTGTTCTCTTTCATTCTGATTTCTCTTTGTGTTTCCATCTGGATTAATTTCTTTTGACCTCTTTAAGGTCACTGATATATTCCTCAGCTGTGCTAAGTTTACTAATAAGCTCATCAAAGGAATTCTTCATTTTAATATATTTTTTCACTTCTAGCATCTCCATTAGGCTCTTTCTTGTAGTTTTTCTCTACTGAAATGCATCCTTTCCCACTAGATCTTCCAACATATTAATCAGAGTTATTTTAATGTTCATATCTGACAATGTTATATCTGAGTCTGATTCTGTTGTTTTATTTCTTGACAATGTTTTTCTTCTTTGCATTTTGTGTGTCTTCTAATTTTTTGTTGAAAATCAATAGAATTCCAACAATAGAAGAGACAGTAGTGAACAGTATGTGTCATTATTAATTTTATGTGTCAACTTGGCTAGGCCAGGGTACTCAGATATTTGGTCACACACCAGTCTAGATGTTGCTGTGAAGGTATTTTTGAGATGAGATTAAAATTTAAATCAGTGACTTTGAGTAAAGCATATTGCCCTCCATAATGTGGTGGGCCTCATCCAATCAGTTGAAGACTTTAAGAGAAAAAGACTAAGGTCCACCAAAGAAGGTGGCATTTTGCTTCTTGAACCCAAGCTCCAAAATCAACTCTTCCCTGAGTCACCAGCCTGCTGGCCTGTCCTGCAGAATTTGGAATTGCCCAGGTCCCACAACTGCATGAGCCAATTAATTAAAATCTCTCAATCTCTCTCTCTCCCTCTGCCTATACATATATACACATCCAATTGGTTCTAGTTCTCTGAAGAACCCTGACTAATACAGTATGTACACTGGAAACAGGCATGCCACTGATTCTTTCAGGCCATTATTGTGGGAAATTGAGTTAGTCGCCTCAGGGGTTGAGCTGGATTTGGGGTTTGTGTTGCTATTCTTGCTTTCAGAGCTCCATAGGCTTCAAATTCCTTAAGTGGTGGATTACTGTTGACTTGTGCTTACAGTGGAGCTGGGGTGCCAAAGGATTGTTTAGACTCCACACTCAGCTTTCTGCAATACGGAGGGTGTCTCTCTCCATGCCCCGCCCTCCCCCACTGGTAGACCAGGCTCATAGTAAGGCAGGAGGCTTTTCTGCTGTCCTCATCCCGCCTTAGTCTTAGGCATGTCTTGGCTGTTTCTTGCTCCCTCTTCCACCAGAGGTAGTCAATTTCTGGTTGGTATCGCTAAAGGATCCTGGGCCCTGGATGGCTTCTTACCCCTCCCACAGGGATAAAAGGATGTGTGTTCTACTTCCCCCAGCCACAGTGCACTTTTACATGTTCCTGGGGGTGGATGGTGTAATGCCCAACCTCCCAGTGGATTCTCAAATTTACTTCATTGGAGAGAAGAACCTGAGGAAGTGGACGAGGCTCCGTGCCTTTCTCCAGCAGCTGAAGGTCCCCTCCTGCAGACCTGAACCACCAAGTTGGGCTACCTCTTAGGTCTTCTGTGCATCTGGTGGGAGCCTGGAGAAAGATGTTGAACTCCCTTTGCATCTGGGGTCCCCAGCTACTCCAGATGGACACATTAGCCCCCTCTTGGCCTTTAGCAATTCATTAAAAGGCTTACCTAATTTTATTTTATTTTACACAGTTGTTTCATGGTCATATCTTCCTACAGTGCTCTGCCACAGGTGAAACTGTGTGTCCTGTCTCTCCTTGCAGGGCCTTGTTCCTCTTTTTTTTTTTTTTTTTTTTGAGATGGAGTCTCACTCTGTTGCCCAGGCTAGAGTGCAGTGGTGCAATCTCGGCTCATTGCAACCTCCGCCTCCCGGTTCAAGTGATTCTCCTGCCTCAGTCTCCAGAGTAGCTGAGATTACAGGCATGCACCACCATGCTCGGCTATTTTTTTTTTATTTTTAGTAGAGACAGGGTTTCACCACGTTGGCCAGGCTGGTCTCCAACTCCTGACCTCAGGTGATCCGCCCACCTTGGCCTCCCAAAGTGCTGGGATTACAGGCGTGAGCCACGGCGACTGGCCGCTTTGTTCCTCTTTGAAACTCAGGTTATTTGGTTGCCTTTCTGGTGAGCTCAAGAAAAGTTACGATTTTGTAGTTTATTCAACTTCTTCTCATTGTTAGGAAAGGAGTGGTGGTCTTTGCAGCTAAGCAAATGCAGAAACCTATACCAACTATTACTGTAATAGGATTGTAGGCAATGCTAATTCTCTATATTATATAATTATGTAACATTTGAATTTTTACATGTGCATTTTGGTTTTATAAATAGAAAAAAGACAATATGTGTAAGAGAAACAGAATCAGTAGAATATATATGTGTGTGTGTGTGTGTGTGTGTATATATTTATACCATATACATAAGATATATATGATACAAAAACATAAGGAATTGGCTCATGTGATCATGGGGGCTGAGAAGACCCACCACCTGTAGTTGGCGGGCTGGAGACCCAGGAGAGCCAATGGTGTAGGTCCAGTCCGAGTCTGAAGGCCTGAGAACCAGAAGAGCCAATGTAGGTTCCAGTCTGAAGGCTGGCAGGCTCAAGACCCTGAGACAGCCAACATTTCAGTTTGAGTCCAAAGGCAGAAAATACCAATGTTCCAGCTGAGGACCGTCAGGCAGGAGGCGTTCCCTCTTAGCCTTTTGTTCTATTCAGGTCTTCAGTTGACTGGACGAAGTCCACCCACACGAGGGAGAACCACCTGCTTTACTCGGTCTAGCTATGCAAATATTAATCTTAGACAGAAACACCCTCACAGACACACCCAGAATAGTGTCTGACCCAATGTGTAAGCACTCTGTGACCCAGTTAGGTTGACACATAAGGCTGGGTGTGGTGCCTGACACCTATAATCTCAACATTTTAGGAATTTGAAGTGGGAGGACCACTTGGGGCCAGGAGAGACTGGCCTGGGAAATACAGCAAGACCCGCATCTTTTAAAAAAATAAAAAATAAATAGCCAAGCATGGTGGCACGTGCCTGTAGTCCCAGCTACTCAGGGTGCTGAGGTGGAAGGATTGCTTGAGCCTAGGAGTTTGAGGTTACAGCAAGCTATGATTGTGCCACTGCACTCCGGCATGGGTGACAGAGTGAGACCCCATCTCAAAAAAAAAAAATTGACCCATAAAATTAACGATCACAATATGATAGAATAGCAATAATGTTATCAGCATAATTCTGGACAGCCTCTACAGGCTGGGTGATCTGGGAGGCAGAATGGACCCAAGACTTTCTCTACCTGCCATATTCTGAAGAATCTTGGACATAGAGCTGACTTCTGGCCTCCGCAATCCACTCACTGAGAAATGCACTCCATCCAAGACCCACCCAAGGCAGCCCCTCCTCCTAGATGACAAAACAAGAGCTGGGGCCTCCACCCCTCTAGGAGCTTCTTCCTTCACAGGCTCCTGCATAGGCAAAGACAGGGGGAGCCACTTTTTCTTTTCTCTTTTTGAGACAGCGTGTTGCTCTGTCACCCAGACTGCAGTCCCGTGGCATGATCATGGCTCACTGCAGCCTCCGGCTCCTGGGCTCAAGTGATCCTCTTACCTCAGCCTCCCGAGTAGCTGGGACCACAGGCACATGTCACCAAGCCCAGCTAAGTTTTAATTTTTTTTTTTTTTTTTTTTTTTTTTTTTTTTTTTGTAGAGATGCGATCTCACTATGTTGACCAGGCTGGTCTGAAACCCCTGGGCTCAAGCAATCCGTTCACCTCTGCTTCCCAAAGTGCTGGGATTACAGGCATGAGCCACCATGCCTGGCTGGCCACTTTGACCAGCGCTATCGAGGAGCTCCCCTGCCCACTGGCCTCCACAGAGCTTGAGTGGAATAGGATGTGCCCCACCCAGTCATCCGAGACTTGTCGGTCAGACTCCTTAAGTGAGGCTTCTTTTAAAAGTGGAGGGTGTCACACTAGAGTCCCAGAAAGTCCAGTAAAAAATGTTTCCAGAAGTAAATGATGACTCTAGTGTTGAGCCATGACCTTCCCTTTCACTCTTACCCACTGTGGCTACACTCAAATTCTTAAGCTTTATCAGATTTGTCTCCGGAATTGCTTCCTGCCGGAGAGTTCATGGTCTCGTTGACTTCGAGAATGGAGCCACGGCCCTTCACGGTGAGTGTTACAGCTCTTAAAGATGGCACAAGTGAGCGGTAGCAAGGTTTATTGTGAAGAGGGAAAGGACAAAGTTTCCACAACACGGAAAGAGACCCGAGCCAGTTGCGGCTGCTGGTTGGGATAGCCAACTTTTATTCCCTTATTTGTCCCCGCCCATGTTCCATTTCTGTCCTATCAGAGTGCCTTTTTTCAGTCCTCCCCACGAATGGCTACTTTCAGAATCCTGCTGATTGGTCCGTTTTACAGAGTGCTGATTGGTGCATTTTACAGAGCGCTGATTGGTGCATTTTACAATCCTCTTGTAAGACAGGAAAGTTCCCCAAGGGATGTCCAGCTGGCTTCACCTCTCAGAATTATTATTTTAAAATTCAGATTCCTAGATGCAAATATTCAAAAGGCGTCTCAGGTATGGCCAGAAATCTGCATGATTTACTGGCACTCTGTGATTCCTAGAAGCATTGCTTTAGGCCTTCCCAGACCTACGAAACCTTTAAGAAATTCCTTTTCATGGAGCAAGATTCTTTAGAACCCAGAAGCATATTAGAGCCTCACACATTCTCACACATGCCACACTGGAGAAGCCAGACATGAAAAAGTGAACCCTGCTCAATACCATTTCTACAAAGTTCTAGAACAGGCAAAATTACAGGGATAAGATCCAGTGGCTGCCTGGGAAGGGGCACAGAGAGAACTTTCTGGAAAGACGGAAACATTCTGTATCTTAATTTGGTGATAGATATTACTAGTATATGCTTTTGTCAAAAGTCATTGATGTGTACACTTGAAGTGACTTTTCTTGTACGTAAATATACCTCAATGAAATCATTTTGAAAAGCTATCACATCACAGAAAATAAAATTGATGTTTCAGATTTTTTTTAAAAATCGTGTGTACATGGCACCACTTATGATTACATCTATGAGTGCATGTGTAAGACTCACTGCCTCATTTATGCATGAGGTATTGAGTGCTCACTGGCCAGAAACAAGCCAGTATTTTATTTGTATATTACTTATGTTCTTGCTTTATGCAAGAAATATGACTAGGCTCAGGCCTTTGTGCAGGGAGCTCAGGGAATGAGCAGCACAGGGAACGGCCCTGCTTTCAGGGAACTCGGTTTTTAGGAGATTCCTGCATGTTTGGTGCACCCTCACCTCACCTTAGACTTCTCTGGGTGGAGATACACACACATAGACACACACACATACACGCGTGCACACACACACACTCTCCTCAGCAAGAAGGAAACACAATGACTAAACATAAGCCCCAAAAGAGGAAACTCCAGAGGGAGTGAAGCTGTGGGCTTTGACCTCAGAGATCAGTTGTGCTCTGAATGTGTGTGGCCTGAGAACCTTTGGCAATATGTCCCCCAAGGCACCTGTGCATTCTCGAAGGCCCCCAACAGAAATCCCTGCAGACTGCCAAAAACCCTGGATTCTAGCCCGTTTTGCCAATTGATTCACAGGGTCACATGGGACAATCATAATCCCTCTTGGGGTCTCAGTTTACCCATCTGTAAAGTGTTGGACTGGATGAGAAATTACTAATTATGATTTGGCTCAAGATCCTATTCTTCAAATGAAATCCCTTACAGAACCCCAATATAAATGGAGGGCATCTATGACTGCAAATGGGGTTCAGGGGCCCATGCTCCTTGTGTCCTCCTTGTCTGCTTTGAGGACTCTTAACGCTCTTGATAATTGTTTTAAGACTACTTGTCCTACTGAAACTGACTTCATGGGAACTCTCCATGACTCCAAATGACCCGACCCCAGTCACCATGACCTCAGAGTGACTCCATTAACCTAAGACTACACATAACCTCACTCAGGGAACCCCAGTGAGAAATAATTCTGTTAGATGCCCTCAAAAGGGCCCAAATTTCCTCTGAGAACTGCCTGCCTGACCACTCAACTGCCGGGCCACACCACAGCCCTGTCTACCTAGGGAAGCTCTTACCTCCAATCCTGCCTTCCCTGTGAATTTGGAAACACCTAGAAGTCAATTCCAAATGGAACTGGCTTATCCTAGGAAGTCCACTCCTAACCTCAGATGATGGAGGCTCCTTTGCTCTGGCATCCCTCCTCCTTCCTAAGACCCTGACAGGGGAAAGGTCATCATCCTTGTCACTCCAGAGTGCTTAGGAAGGTGCGCCAGACACTGCGTTATGCACTTCACGTGGATCACCACCCTACGAGGTGGGCCTTATTGTTAACCCGTGTTAGGATTCTTGTATTGCTATAAAAAAATACTTGAGACTGAGTAATTTATTATTAAAAAGGTTTAATTGGCTTATGGTTCTGCAGGATGTACAGGAAGCATGGTGCTGGCATCTGCTCAGCTTCCAGGGAGGCCTCAGGAAGCTTATGACCATGGCAAAAGGTGAAGGGGGATCAGGCATGTCACATGGTGAAAGCAGGAGCAAGAAGGGGGCAGGGGGAGGTGCCACACAATTTTAAATGACCGTATCTTGCAATAATTCACCATCAAGAAAACAGCACCAAGCCATGAAATACCCGTCCCCATGATCCAAACACCTCGTAGCAGGCCCCACCTCCAGCACTGGGGATTACAGTTCAACATGAGATTTGGCTGGGGACAAATATTCAAACTATATCGCCTCCTTATGCAGCTGAGGGAAACAGACTTGGGGTCACTAAGGGGAGGAGCTGGGATTCAGGGTGGAGCCAGTGCTCATGGCATAGGCTATGGGTGCTAAGGTCGTTTGTCTGAGCCTCATCTCTAAGGCAGGGAGGACAAGTTGCCAGCACGATGACATGAAACCATCCACATGAACGTCCTGAGCATGGCATCTGCCACGGCGAGCTCAGTAAAGATCAGCTCCAAGTCACAGACCCCTCTTCCAGAAACCAGGTACCAGTCTTCCATAGAAAATAGGATTTATTTTCACATTTAAGGTGAACACAAATCCATGTTCCAGAAATGTTTTATGCATAACACATCATGAGTAGATTGAATTTCTTTAACACACAGAAAAATCAAAGCCTACCAGGAAATGCTTCCCTCCGGAGCACAGGAGCTTACAGGCCACTTCTGTTAGCAACACAGGAATTCACATTGTCTAGGCACAGCTCAAGTGAGGTTTGTTCCCAGGTTCAACTGCTCCTACCCCCATGGGCCCTCCTCAAAAACGACAGCAGCAAACCAACAGGCTTCACAGTAACCAGGAGGAAAGATCTCAGCGGGGGAACCTTCACAAAAGCCCTGAGTTGTGTTTCAAAAGCCAAGCTCTGGGGTCTGTGGCCTGTGTCACCAACTCAGGTCACACCACAGCACGGGGAAGTTAGTGTTGCAGTTTCACTTCTAGTCAATCTTGTTAATTAAATTATCCCAATTAGGAAGACAATATTAAACAGGTATTAGAGTCCTTTTGCAAAACTGACTGTCCCCCTTGGTCAAGGAAAAGACTTTCACTTGGATGGCAACCCATCACCATCACCATGTCCAAGGCACAGATGAATCTGGGCTGGGCAATCACAGGCAATGCTTGACAAGGGGTGGGTGACATCATGTCCACAAAGATGCCCAGAAATGAGGTCGTGAGGAAGGGTGGGTATTAGGAAGCAATGTGGTGGGTCCTGGCCGAGGTCTAACATCCCTAGCAGCCTTCCTCAGGCACACTGTGACAGTGGAGTGGGCACACGTATCGTTTCAGGCACCTTGGCTGACAGCCCAACGCGGCCACCTGGGTGCATGGACATTTGCAGCTGCCACCATGCCAGCACCCTGGCCACAGATTAGCTCAACTGGCCACAGTCTGTGATGACAATCTTCTTGGATGTCCTCCCACTCTTAGAGCCGAAAGATTCTATTTTCTTCACGACGTCCATGCCCTCTTTGACGTGACCGAACACAACATGCTTGCCATCCAACCTGTGAGGACGGGTGACCCGGGTGAGCAACAGTGTAGCGCAATGTCATCCAATGCCATGGACCTGGTCATGGAATTAGTTACCGAAAACAGCAATTCTGAAAAGAATCCCCATGGAATAGCTAGATCTACCCCCAAAGCTCGATCAAGCCTTGTTGAGCGCCCCAAATACACCCCAGAGGATGCCTGGCTTCCAGGACACATTCTGTCACTCATGTTGTGACCTTGCCTCAGGCCATGTAGCCTGAATCCTGGTAACCCCATCTATCAAAAGTGGAGTATTCTTTGTTCTGCATGGGGAGGTAACAGGATACTGAAATGCTCTGAAGAAAGAAGAAGTCCATACAAATGGAACCACGTTAACGGTCATGAATGATGAGTCAAGAGTCAAAGGAACAAGGGTGGTGAAACTGCAGGAGTCCTGGGCAGCTCTCAACCCGAGAGAGTCCAATAATGTAAAAGGCGGCTCAGTCCAGCTCCAGCGAAGCTGGCGTGGTTCCAGCCAAGAGCAGAACTGCAGGATCCACTGGGGTCCCATGAAGGAGCAAAGAGCAGGCTGAGCCAGCAAGGACCTGCCCAGCCCTGCCGGCCACATCTCTTGGGCTTGGAGGCTGGACACTTCTAGTGTCTGCCCCACCTAGGTCTCCCTAAAATCCTCGGAAATGGGCTTTACCAAGTCAGCTCCCAGCCAGTTCATCCCCAGGTGCCCCAGGGCTAGGACATTTGGGACTCTGGCCAGAGAAATTTATCCCTTAGAGGAAAATGTACCAGGAAAGAGACATCCCTAAAATCCATGGGCATTGAAAACAGGGCCCTTACAGGCCTGTGGCTATCTGCAGGTTTATGATAATACAGAGGCTTCATTTGGAAATTTGCTGATATCCAAATGTCTGCTGCAGCATTGCCAAGGCTCAGCCCATGGTCAAGACAAGCCTGGGAAACTCCAGGTTAAAACCACACAAGTGGGCTTCTACTCAGTCCCTCCTGAGGCCTCATAATATGTTTTGCAACATTTCCCAAATGTATCTGGTAGAGAAACCCTTTCGTGTGTGCGTGTGAGCAGAACACACTCAGAAAATTCCAGGTGACAGCAACAATGGGAACCCGAACCATGACAGAGTTGCAGGAACAACCCCAATTCTCCCTTGATCCTTCCACTAACTTTCTCTTTCTCATACAAACACACAGCCTGGGAGAGGGCCACTGTCCCAGAGCAGAAGGCCTGGCTGTAAACTGCCTGCCCCTAAAAGTGCACGAATCCTCCTCCAGCTGCAAGGCTGCCCGCATTCCCAGAGGGCCTGGGGCAGGGAACTCACCAGTCTGTCTTTATGGTGCAGATGAAGAACTGGGAGCCGTTGGTGTTAGGACCAGCATTAGCCATGGACAGGACACCTGCAAAAACCAGCAGGGCTGAGCCACGCTGCCCCTGGAGGCACCTGCCTGGGAGGGCATTTGAAAGGGCAGACGGTGCAAACCACACCAGGGACATTCGAGTCTGCAGATCCTGGGACCCAGAAGAGGAGAACCAGGGCCCGATACCAGCCCCCCAGGGTATGCCTGCCTTTGCTGCCTGCTAGTTCTCAGTGGGGTGGCCTGAGAGGACAGGGCCTTGTGGAAGCTCTCAGTGGTAGAGCTGGGGCGGGACCTGGGGCAGGACCCCAGGACCTGACCTCCAGACATCTCCACATTCTACCTTGGGTCTTATAGGTGACACGATGCTGCCACAATAACCACTCTGGCTTCCAAACCATTTGCTTTTTATCTAAGCAAGATTTTAAATAATCCTCAAAGGACCTAAGGACCATTCTGCAACAATTCTAAGTGTCCTAGAATTTCCAACCCGAAACTCAGAGGACAAACAGGGAGGTGGCCAGGGCCTCCATTCTGCTTAAAGGTTCTTCCACAAAGTTCCCAAAGGAAACCCTGCTTTTTAAACTGAGAGATGAGAAAACTCTAGGGAAACTCAACAAGCCAGAAATGCTGAGACAGCCTACAGTGTCGCAGGGAGGAAGGAGACTCATCAGATACTGGACGGTGACTGCATGTGGCCTCTCAGGGCCTGCTGGGGCTTCCAGGCCAGGTCAGAGCTGTGGGGACACTCACCCTAGAGGAGGCCCCCACTCACCTGGCCCCACGTGCTTCAGTGTAAAGTTCTCGTCAGGAAAGCGGCTTCCGTAGATGGACTTCCCGCCTGTGCCATTGTGGTTGGTGAAGTCGCCCGCCTGTGAGCACAAAGCACCTTCTGAGTGGCTACCATGGAGCAGGCGGGGGCCACGGCCCTGGCGCTGGCAGCAGCCTCAGCCCACCCAAGCCCACCCAGTTGGCGCCCCTCAGGTAAAGGGGTCAATAAACATCCAATAAAATAAGAGCTAATAATAAGAATAATAAGCAAAAAAAAAAAAGACAAAACTTAAATATCTTTTGTCACCGTAACTACCTTTGTTTCCAAATGACTTACTTTTTGTCTGAGCAAATTTTTAAGTAATCTTCAAAAGACCTAAAGGCCATTCTGAGATGATACTTAGTGACCCAGAATTTAACCCACTCCTCCTGGAGGGCAACAAGGAAGAGGCCAGAGGCCCCCCAGTTCCCGAGTCTAGTCTGTGGGAGTACCAGCAGCTGGTCCAGACCAGCTCCCCAGGCCGAGTCCCCTCACTGTCCGCGCACTGCCCCTTACCCAGCCCAGCAGCTTTCCCAACCCTTGCAGACCCAGGACAGAGTCTGCCCAAGGCTGACATCTTTCCTCAGGCCTCAGCTAAGGCCCAGGCAGCCGTGGCCAAACCTGCATGGGGCACCCATGGCCAGAAGAGCCTGGTAGCAGCCCCTATGCCTAGCGCTGCCCAGCCCAGGCCATGGCTGGCTGCTGTTTTCCTGAGATGGGATCCGTGGGTAAGAGAGGGGAACTGACCAGCCCAGCTGAAGCATCCACAGGTGTCAATTAGGTGCTCCCTAATTGATATCCCTCCCAACGGATGACTCAGGACTCTGGTCTGGACTCCCGGTGCCACCGCCTTGTGCCAGGGAGCCCTCCCGCGCTGGAGTTCCCACCCTGGCTCAGGACTTCCACCTCAGCTCCTACTTTACCATCAGCCTTAGGGCTGGGCCAGGCCTGCCGTCCCTGTGTTCACCCCGTATCCAGGCTTCGCCGCACATAGACGTCCAGTCCCAACCCGCTGCCACTTACCACGGTACGATGACGGCCACTGGGTCAGGGTGGAGGGAATGGGGAGAGAATTCCAGGCAGGAAGGTCTTCAAAGAGGTCATGACAGCCATGCCCCTGCCTCCAGGCTCTGCCTGCCCAGGACACCCAATCCCTGATCTTGAAGGTCTGTGCTAATAGAAGACCAGCCCCAACACCACCTGGGTCCTGACCCACAGGAAGCTCCTGCTACAACACCTACCCCCAAACCTCTGACACAGCAATACCAATGCTTGTGAAAACTGAGCATGACACATGACCGAAAAACATTCATTTCACCGAGAATAATGCCTTTCTCTGGGAAGGGAAGCCCCAAGTCCTGGCGTGTGTGTTCCTGCCCTGGACCTGTCTTCCTCCTCCGCCTCCTCCACTTCTCTCTCTCCCTCTCTTATCTCCCACACCAGTGCTCAGGGGCACACAGGGGACAAGGTCAGAGACCACTGGAATATGCTGGCTCTTCAAAGTCTTCAAGGCCACCCCCAGCACATCCATCTCCCAACCCAGCTCTCTCTTGATAGACTCCACCTCCCAGTCCCCCGGGCAGGGCCTGCCACTGACCTGGAGTGGCAGCGGGTTGGGGCTGGGCTTCCATGTGCAGTGAAGCCTGGATACAGGGCTAATGCAGGGAGGGCAGCCTGGCTGACAGAGCAACTGCAGCTGCTCTGCTCAGCACCTTCCTCATACCAGGCATCTTCACACACCCACAAGGCAGCTCCTGCTCTCATCCCCCCTTACAGAAGAGGAAACTACATTACCTGGCACATGAAGGAAGGGATCACCCTGTGGAAGGTGGAGCCTTTGTAGCCGAAGCCCTTCTCACCAGTGCACAGGGCTCTGAAGTTCTCTGAGGGTCGAAGAGAAACACAGGTCAACAGGGCCAGGCCCCAATTCCAGGGTCATACCCGTTCCAGCCAAAATCCCTGCTACATCCCCAGCAGTGAACAGGGGGATAAAGACTCTGGCCCACCTCTTGGGTCTGCTCTGCCCAACTCGCTATGTAACTGGACAAGTCACTCCCCTTCCCTGTCCTCAGTACCTGAGCACTGTGACAAGAGTACAGGCTCATGGCTGTGCTGGCCAGCAGGGCACGGACTCAAGGGCTGTGTGCCCATCACCCTGCCTCACTGGGCACCAGGAGTGGGGAAGTCTCCGGGAAATTTACATGTGCCTTCCACTGGCTCTGAGGCTCCCAGCTACTATGAGAGAGGAGGGCAGAGCCAACGTTGAGGCCCAGAGAGGGATGGCAGGGCTGCCCCAGAGCACCCAATGGCTGAGCCACACATGGAGCTCCCATCTGTCAGGGGTCTCTGAGCCCCGACTCTTCTCATCACGCCACCCACCTTGCCCTGCCTGGCCCCCTTCCCTCTAGACCCATCTCAGAAGGCCCCAGGCCCTGTCTTACCAGCTGTCTTTGGGACGACATCTGCCTTCAGCTGTTGGGGGAGAAGAAGGACAAAAGAGGATGGTCATTGGAGAGGCAGGTGAAGGTGGGTGTCTCTCAGCACCCACCCACCCCCACAGTGGCCAAGGAGGCTAAGGAAGAAGCACGTGGACATTCCATTCCCATTATTGCCAACCCCCATGGGAGGCAGCTCTATCATTTCTGGGAGCCGTTTCCTGAACCCAAGGCTGGAGGAGGTGGCCTTGGTTTCCTAATCTGTCAGAAGAGATGACAATGCTATCTTGGCCTACTTCTGTGGACACAGCTGGCAGTGCTCCCACAGCTGGGCCCAAAGCATCAGAAATTCAGGGACAAGAGAGTGTGTCTAAGGTAGAAGCCAGACCAGCTCCTCCATTCGGGGTTGGGAAACTGAGGCCCAGGGAGAGGCATGAGGGTGTGGGGAGGGAAGGCTGAAGCCCCATCCCAGCCAGCCTCTACCCTCGAAGCTGCAAGACCCACCCTGGAACCAAATGGAAGCAGGAAGGGTGTCCCTATTTTCCAGAAGAAACTGAGAATGAAGAAGAAATACTAAGGGCTCCCTGGGATACGGGCCAGTCAACACAAACAGACCCCTGCTGTCAATGTGTGGCCGACCTGAAGGCTCCACTAGGGCTTTCCCTCTAAAGCTACCCTGGTGACTGTTTCTTACTTTGCTTTAGAAAAGACCCAAAAACAGAGTTAGGGGAGGTGCTCAGTGTGGCCCCCAAGGACAGTGGCAGGGGTTGAGGCGCCGGGCACACTGTCTCTGAGTGTGTCCCGACTCGCAGGAGGGGCATTCTGGGGTCCACCAGGTGGCCGGGGCCTGAGGCCTACTGGGCCCGCACTACTGCTGGAAACCACCTCTCGCTCCATTTCCCAGCACCCCCAGTGTGAGCCCGACCGCAGGGGCGGGGCCGGAGCCAGGAAGCGCTCCGTGTTGTGCAAGGGCCGCCACGTGAGCACCCGCTGGGCCACGACGCTCACCCCAAGACCCCCGACACCCACCTCGGAGCTCCGGATCTAGGCTCAGCCCCAGAAGGCTCCTGGAGCCCCTCCCTCGTGCCCGGGCCGGCCCAGAGGTGCTGAGCCCTCCCTCTCTGCGATCTGACCTTGAGCTTTCTCCTCCACACGTGCCCTCCCTCCCGTCTCCCCCGCTCCAGTGCTCCGAGGGAGGCCGGAAGAAATCATTCTGACGCCCATTCTCAGAAATGGGGAAACTGAGGCCCAGAGCTCGGCATGGGGAGGCCCAAGGTCACCCAGCGCGCCCGGCACCGCGCCGCCCGGGGCCCAGGGCTCTCCCCGGGCCCGTGTCCCGCGCCCAGGCCGGCCCTGCGAGCGGTCTCACCTCCAGCACCACGCGGCCGAGCGGCTTCCCGTTGGCGTCCACGTCCAGGTACACGAGCGGGTTCCCGGAGGAGGAGGAAGAGGACGGGTCGCCGGAGCCCTTGCTGCAGGCGCGGGCCGCGGGGAGGCGCAGCGGCACGGAGCGCGGGACGGAGAGCAGGCCGAGCCAGCGGGAGCCGCAGCGCAGCGCCAGCATCGCGGGCGCGGGTCGGGCGGGACACGGGCGGGGAGAACACAGAACTCAAACTGACGTCGCGCGCGCCCAGAAGGCCGAGTCCCGCGCAGCCGCGCGCCGCAGCCTTTATTGGCTTGCCCAGGTTCCCGGCCCTGCCCCCGTCCCGCCTCCTCCAGGCCTGTCCGTGGACTACCCCTGCCGGCCGCAGCGGGCAGCGCAGCCAGCCGGTGGGGCCGCGGAGCGTGAAGTGCTTTGAAACACTCCCGCCTCCAGGCCCAGAGACCCGGAGAACAGACACCTGGCAAAAGGTTGCTGGTTCCATGTTTATTAAGGTACCAGCAGATTTTTTTAAAAAAAGAAAAACTGCTAAAACGTAATTAATTCCAAAATATGAGCATCTATACGTTGCAATTTGAATATAATAGCAAAAGTCTACCTTTGAGCCCTTTGCAGGTAAGGCTCAGGCCAAATAAGCTTCCCTGCTGCCCTAGGTCCTGCAGTCTGAGAGGGTTAGAGAAAGGTGAGATGAGAGGCGGGATTAGTGAGCTAGAGGCGCAAGAGGGAGGAGATAAGCTGAGACACCTCCCATGATGCCCCCTAGCCTGCTTGTCCCGGCCTGGGCCTGTCTCTAGTTGTTTCTGGGGACCAGACCTGCTTCTAGCAAGACTGAAAACGCAGCCTGGGCTCATCATGCTCCTTTCAGGCCCCCAGCCCTCCCCAGGACTGGGTCTGATCCCTCCTCCTAGGACCCACACTGACAGCCCCGGGGCAGACTGCCAGCTGCCCCCTCCCATCAGCATGCACCCTGGGAGGGGACTCAGTGGGGAGACCCACAGCAGGAGCATTTAAACCCCACGTGCTGAAAGTGGGCTTCCCAGCAGCCAGAGCCACCCTCACTGCAAGGTGGTGGGAGGTCTGCAATAAATGGATGCCACGCAGGGACCTGAGAGAGCATCTGGCCCAACACTTGTACTGTCCCCAGGGGAAGCTGAGGCCTGGACACAGGAAGGCACTGGCTAGGGCTAGGGAGCCCTGGAGTATTGCTACCAGCTTGCACCAGTGCTCCAGGCCTCTCTGGGCCTCAGTTTCCCATCTGGAGGGTAAGGGTGCGATCATGCTCCTCATCCTGCTTTTTTCTCGTGTCTGTTCTTAGGATAAAATGAACGAGAGAGACATGGATTTGTCAACTAAGTACTGTGCCTGTGGGCATCTGTGATGGACAGAGTCTGGACTGTCTTTCTCACAGTTTGGGATTCAGAGAGCTGCGGTCTCAGTTAGAGGCCTGAGGGGTCAGAGAAAGGGGTGGGGCTGAGCCTTGGAGGCAGGTGGGCAGGAGTAGGGACCAGCTCTGGACTGACCTGCCCCAGATCCTGAATGGGCTCATGGGAACAGGTCAGGCAGCAAAATGCCAGCCAAGCAAATTCATGAGGTCAGAGCAGTGCCCTAGCTTCATAAGAATGCTAGCTTGGCCTCTGGAAGTTTGGCTAGCTTGGCTTCTGGAAGTTCATAGCCCCCTTCTCCGATTCCTGGCCTAGGAGGGGCCTAGGCACCCAGTGAAGCCCAGGTGGGATGCATTCCAGGTCCCAGCCCAGAATGGGGCCTCACTCTGCCCTGGGGAGCAGCCCCTCCTTTCTTATGATTGTGCCCTGAGGTGAGCAGGCCTGAGTGGGGAGCCCACTTGAGCCCTCAGCACATGTCCCAGACCTTCCTCTACCAGTGCATCCTGTGGATTTGAGAGTGGAGGAATCACGCCATGTGCCTTGTCATGAAGCTTCCTTAAGGCCCCAGGCTTCCCTGCGGCCAGTTCCAGGCCCTGAGCTCACAGGACCTTCAGCCACAGCAGGTAGCTCAGCGTACCCTGTTGTTTCTCAAGCCTGCTCCTGGGGGGACTCAGTTTATGCCCCATCCTGATGAAGCATGAGCATCCCCACCCCAGGGGAGTGCTGCCTTCATTCACTTGACCACTTCAGTTCTCAGAACCCTTTCCCAGCTGTGAACTCTGCCTGAGAGACAGCTCTGTTTTGCAGATGGGGAAGCCAGGCCCCAGGGGCTGGGGAGTGAATTGCCCAAGGGCAGGCTGTTGGAACTGGGACCAGTCTGTCTGACTTCACAATCAGGGTTATTGCATGTCAAACCCTTCTCACTCTCACCACGAAGCTGGTCCTTGGGACAGGGTGGGGAGGCAAGAGAGATAAGCCTGGGCAGACAACACAGTAAGATAGAAACGGTGGAGTTGGCCAGGGGGCTATGGAGCTCAGGGACTAGGGAGATGGTTTTAATAGTGAGCATGAGCTGAAAGGCCTGTGGGGACCCAATCACAGAGGGCTCTGAAGGCCTGGCTGAGGTCTGACATTGTTGGATAGCACTGGGGAGCCATGAATAGTGCAAAGACTCCATGCTGAGGACTCTGGACTGGGAACCAGCTTCTTTCATTCATGTTACTCCTTCCACTCTCTTTGGAAAATCAAACGTCATCACTACCTCCTAAGCCAGAGAAAAGCCTACCTTCCCCAAAGGCTTAGCTATGATGTCATCCCTTCCTGTTCTGTTCTCAGTGGTATCAGGAAGAAGGATAGTCTATAGGCTAAGCCATGAGCTGAACACATGCCCAGCCCTTGAGGGCTCCGGGCCCAGGTGACATCAGGCAGGTGTTAGCACTCACCTGGCTCTGAGGCTATTTATAGACTGTGTTATCCTCAGAAACAGCAGTGTTTCTCTCCACTCAGCTCACATGGTTTTTTATCCAGGGTGCTGATGGGTTTTGTCACCTAGGGATCCTGTAACACCACCTCTAGGCCTCACAAAGCCAAAGAACAATCAGTTTGTGCTAAGCTCAGAATCTCATTCAGGGGTTGCAAACTCAGATGCCTGCGGGGGCCAGGCAGGTGATACACATGAGTGGTGCAAGCTGGTAAGTATGTAGGGAGTGAGGGGAGGTGGCACTGTATCCAGATAGCTAATGGATGTCCCAGGTAAAGAGGTAGCTGCTGCCCAGGCCAGCCAATTATTGTATATGGGACTATGGGTCCACACAGGCCACCCAGGTTTTCTCATCTTTCAATAAAAGCTGAAGACTTTAAGTTTTATAGAAATCTAGTTTTCAAATTTTTGAAATGAATTTCAAAATAAAATTAAACACCGAATGAACTGTAAACACCGTATCCAAACTAGATGAGGACTCTGGGCTGATAGTTTGTAAGCTCTGATTTCCACTGTACAGGTGAGAGGACTGAAGCTCAGAGAAGGATGGGGAGTGGCCCGAGGCCATACAGCTGGGCAGTACCAGGACTGTGGTCAGACCCTCTCTTCACTCTCCCCAGGGCCCTTTCTGCAAAGTTCACTCAGCAGACATGTTTTCAGAGCACCTACTGTGTTCTGAGCCCTGAGCTTCACCCTGGGGATTCAGAAGGACAAAGACAGGGACAGGAGGTTATGGTGTCCTGAGATGCTGGAACTGCTGAACAAACCTCTCCCAGGTAGCCCTGTGTGTGGCAGGAGTGAACGCTGTGGTTGTCGTGGGGTACAAAGTTACAGTTGTTCTGGAGAGACCCTCCAGGAGGGGCTGGGGGTGAAGGTAGCCCCGGTGTGGGCATGAGGTGGGGTTTCTATAATATTAAATATCATGAAGGCTGAGATCATTACCAGTGCCAGTCACTGGGTCATACAACCTGTGCTGCCAGCCTAGACAATGGTCCTTAGGTAGGATGAGGCCATGGACTTCATCTGTCTGGTTATGCTTGAGGGGTTTGGGGTCCAGGATAGCATCTGTCATGGGAAGGGAAACTGAGAGAGAGGTTCCCCGCGACTCAGAAAGCCACCAGACCCTTCTACTGGGTTGCTGTGGGACTCTCTGGGGATGGAGTGTCCCCCGTGGCCTTTGCAAAGTCAGTACATTCATCATCCTCTCTCTGCTGGCTTCTAAGAACCAGACCATGATGGGGAGGCAGAGGCAGAGAAGGGAGGTTCCACTAAGGCCCAGGGAGGTGGTGGGCACAGTGATCAGAGAGAGACCCACAAGGGGAAGATGGGGCGAAGCTCTCCTCTGGAGTCCAGCTGGTCTTTTACTCGTGTGATCTGGATCACTGCGGGCCACTGAGAGCGGAGCCAGTGTGGTAGGGTGGAGCTCAGTAGGGTGTGGCTCACCCTCAGCTGCTGGGCTCTCACACAACCTGCCTGGCCACAGCCCCCTGCAACTCACAACTCAGCAGAGCTTGCCTTCTGGGAGTATCTGCAAGATAATCCATGTTTGTTGTTTGAAGCCACTAAGTGTTGGGTCATTTGCCATGTGCAGTGGATAACTCATACCCATAGTACCCCACCCCAGCCAGGACTCCTGGAAGATCCCATTGCTCCATGCACAGCCAGTCCTGGATCTGCTGTCTCAGCAAGCTTGGTCACCAGCTCTTGGCAAGGACCTCACGGGCATGGTCAGGGAGAACTGGTCCAAGAGACAGGACTTCCTTGTCTTTGTAAAGACGTGGAATGGGCTGGTTATTTCTGTCTCATGCCTCTGAGGGAGACTGATTGAAGCTTGGGAGAGTGGAGGAGCTGGGAGAGAGTCCTCAGCGGGAGGGCCTGAGGGTCTGGCCATGGCATCCTGTTGGCCTCTGGGAAGGGGACGGGGCCTCACTTAATACCTCCGTGCTGGGCTCCGCACTTTGTAGATGTCATTCTGAGCCTCAGGGTGACCCTGCAAAGTGGAGCTTGTTGTCCCTGTCTTACAAATAAAGGAATGGAGGCCAAGAGAGATTAATGATGTGCCCAAGGTCACACTAGGGCCAAGTGGAGAGTGGAATTCTTCCTGACTCACCTGGCTCTGTGTCTCCAGGGGCAGGTGGGCTCTGAGTGGTGCCTCTGAGCTGGCTTGTGCCAGACATCATCCCCTCCACGCAGCCGTTTTCTTCCAGCTAGCCTGACACTGTGCTTAGTGATTGAGATCTATGATCCTATGTAGTCCTCATGATAACTCTGCAAGGGAGGGTCTGTTGTCCCCACCTGATGGACACCAGATGGCTGAGCTGGATTTCAACCCAGGCCTGGCTGAATCCATATCTGCACTCTCTCCCACTGACTGGGTCTTCTCACCCTAGAGAATCTACCATTGGCTCAGCCCTGCAGGGCGACACCCAACAGTACAGCTGGGTAACATAGAAACACACACTGACTTCATTTACACAGTCCCTGCCCAGAGTCAATAGAAAAGTACCTGGTCAGCAGGACCCGCAAGGTTGCCAAGTCCAGTCCAGATTCGTCCTTGGTGCATGCCCCATTGCCACCTTTATTTACTGTTTACTGATTTGCAGTGGCTTTTCTCAATGCATCATTATCCTCAGGAGAGGATCCCACTGCCAGTTGTCTAGGAGTGGGGCCCAAGACTTTGCCAAGCCTAAAATGC
Source organism: Homo sapiens (assembly GCF_000001405.40). Taxonomy (NCBI): domain Eukaryota; kingdom Metazoa; phylum Chordata; class Mammalia; order Primates; family Hominidae; genus Homo; species Homo sapiens. The sequence continues at coordinate 79,342,174 of NC_000010.11, read as the reverse complement.
TGCTCAGTCAGACTTCACCTGAGCTCTGGGCTCTCTGCCTTGTGGGTGCAAGGAAGCAAGCAGCCTCCAATTCTGCAGTTTCCCTTTTTGGTCTGTTGTTTTGGTCTGTGCAATTTTCATGAATCTACTGACTTGACCCTCTTAACCTCCACTGACTAACTCACATTGATACCTTTCCTTGCTCCATTAGAATAAATCTCCTTCTGGTCAACAATGCTTACCTTGTGATCCATATTGTCCACCTTCTGATCAGTATGGTCCACCCTTGATGACAAGTATTTGTCTTTTCTTCAAATGAAGATAAGCACCATGGTGAAACCCCCTCTCTACTAAAAAATACAAAAATTAGGCCGGGCGCAGTGGCTCATGCCTGTAATCCCAGCACTTTGGGAGGCCTTGGCGGGCAGATCACCTGAGGTCGGGAGTTCGAGACCAGCCTGACCAACATGAAGAAACCCCATCTCTACTAAAAATACAAAATTAGCCGGGCATGGTGGTGCATGCCTGTAATCCCAGCTACTCGGGAGGCTGAGGCAAGAGAATCGCTTGAACCCGGGAGGTGGAGGTTGCAGTGAGCCAAGATCACGCCACTGCACTGCAGCCTGGGCGACAGAGCGAGACTCTGTCTCAAAAAAAAAAAAAAAGTAACTGGGCGTCATGGTGGGTGCCTGTAATCCCAGCTACTCGGGAGGCTGAGGCAGGAAGAATTGCTTGAACCCAGGAGGCAGAGGTTGCAGTGAGCTGAGATCGAGCTACTGCACTCCAGCCTGGGTGACAGAGCGAGACTCTGTCTCAAAAAAAAAAAAAGAAGAAGAAGAAGAAGATAAGCACTATGGTAATAAGAATAGCTACCTTTTGCTGCACTTAATACACTGCACATGGTAAGGATTTATAACATTATTTCTTAATCCCCACATGGCCCTTGAGAACAAGTACTAGTATTAACTACTTTTTATAAATAGGGCCTCCAAAGTGGGCAGAAGTCATAAGCCATCCAAGGTTACCTGGGTCTTCCCTTGTGTTAAGTGAGTAGTGGAACAGCCTGTATTTGGCCTTGCTCTGCTTAATCCCAGAACTTGGCTCCTGCCTCTAATGCTATCTTTGCTACTGTTGAATTTTAGTACAAAAGATCAGCAGGTCAGGCTGAGAGAGGCCTCAATTTATGTGACAAAGATCTCAGATTGTAGATGAGCAGAAAGGCTCAAACAGTTGACCAACTAGCAGCCTATGTTCCTAGGACAGAGGGTCCGTATCACAGGCCCTGGGGCTGGGTGAGTCCAGGCATATCTCGGGATCACAGCGGAAGCTTCAGCTCCATGGGGACAGGCCCAGCCCATTCAGCAGAGAATCAAGGAGCAGGGGACCCTGCGAATCAAGGGTGTTCGGAGAAGATCTAACTAAAGCTGGTCACAGTAGAAGTGTGGTGGGGTGGACACAATGCCATCTCTAGAGAGTTGAGGGCTGCACTGGGGCAGAGGCCACAGTGGGGCTTCATAGGCCTGACCAGGATGAGCAGGAGCCAGATTTGGGTTCATTTAGACAGAAAGCTTCCTACCAGTCAGCAATATTGCAGAATGATACTTTGAAGTAAGAAGCTCCTCATGGCTGAAGCTGTGCGAGAGATACCAAGCAGGGATGCCACAGAAGATGGCTGCTTGGGCTAAGTGGTGGGGCCAGGTGACCTGTCTGGCTCCTTCTGGTTCAGAGACTCTGCGATTTAGACCCCCTAAGTTGAGGCTGCTTGGGGGAACAGAAAGTGCAGCGTGCAACCTCAGAGTTTTGTTTTTTGGGGGTTTTTTGTTGGGTTTATTTTTTTTTCTTATTTTTTATTTTTTGGAGACAGGGCCTCGCTCTGTCACCCAGACTGGAGTTCAGTGGCGCTATCTTGGCTCACTGCAAACTCCACCTCCGGGGTTCAAGTGATTCTCAGAGCTCAGCCTCCCGAGTAGCTGGATTACAGGTGTGTGCCACCACACCTGGCTAATTTTTGTATTTTTAATAGAGATGAGGTTTTGCCATGTTGGCCAGGCTGGTCTTGAACTCCTGAACTCAGGTTATCCAACTGCCTCAGCCTCCAGAGTTATTTATTGGCATATCGGTGAGTAAAATGTAACATGAAACCATAAAGGCCGGAAGAGAATACTGACATATGGTTACTGGTTTCAAAGTGGTCAAAGTTTTCTAAGCACAGAAGCAAATGCAAGGAAGTATAAGGAAAACTAGGCAACGATCTGGTGGTATACCTGGCTTAAAACTCTGCACTTTAAAGGCTCCACTGGCACAGTTGGGAAGAGTAACTTGTGTTTCTTTATTTCTCCCAGCCCTTTCCTTCCATGCTTTGGGGCAAGCAGACTTCAGAAATAAGGACAAAGATGTCAATACTTGGCTTTAAGGTTTCAAAAAAAAAAAAGTTAGGATACTTGCCAGTTGGTTTAGAAAATATACATGATCACTCAGCCAGCCTTCCCTTTCAGATGCGACCTTCATTCACCCCCAACCTGCAAGAGACCCTCATGGTTGGAGGAAGAAGGGAGTGGAGGGGAAGCAAGGGAGTAAGACCCATCAGGGGATGTGAGAAACCCCAGATGAACTCCAGGAATCCAAAAGCAGAGGCATCCTGAGCCGTGTTTCTGAGTAGAGTCGAAGAAAGGAGCAAGAATCCAGAGCCAGGCCCTTCCCTGGTGGGGAATGCAACCTGGTTGCCTGGTGTGTCCAGACAGGTAGGGCTCCCAGCAGCCATGAACAGATTTCCTGGAGGCCCAAGAAGGCACAGAGTGACCCAGGAGCCTGAAGACCTGGAGGCCATGTGGCTGGACAAGGAAATGACAATAGGGACTGCGTCAGTGGACCAGAGCCAGATGAAAATAAGGATCTTAGTAGACACCAGAGGAATCAACAAGTAACCAGATGGATCCCAAATTAATCTCAGCACTTTGCGAGGCTGAGGCAGGAGGATCGCTTGAGCCCAGAGGTTTGAGACCAGCCTGGGCAACATAGTGAGACCCTATCTCTACACAAATTAAAAATTTTTTTAAATTAGGCAGGCATGGTGGTACAGACCTGTCACTCTCCCTTACTCATGAAGTCTTTACTGGTGGCCAGTAGGCAGGCAGTGGTCATCCATATAGGGTTTCCAATAGTAGGACCCCAAGCCTGGGACAGAGGACAGGGTCAAATTCTGGAAAAAGCAAGACAGGTCTCCATCCTAGACCCTGAATGGGCAGAGTCCAGACACAGAAGGCTGAGGGGACCAGGCAAAGTCCAAGTTTGAGAGCTGGACTCTGTCCAGGCCCTGGTCACTCTCCCTTACTCATGAATTCACTCACACTTCTTCATGGAGCAGCTACTATTAAGACTCAACTATGGCTAGACATGGGTGGTTCACACCTGTAATCCCAGCACTGTGGAATGCTGAGGCGGGAGGATTACTTGAGACCAGGAATTCAAGACCAGCCTGGGCAACACAGCAAGGCCTCATCTCTACAAAAAAATGAAAAACTTAGTTGGGGGTGGTTCACGCCTCTAGTCCCAGCTACTTGGGAGGCTGAGGTGGGAGGGTCGCTTGAGCCCATGAGATGGAGGCTGCAGTGAGCTGTGTTTACACCACTGTACTACATCCTGGATGACAGAATGAGACCTTGTCTCAAGGGAACAAAAAAGGACTCAAATTAAAAATTTTTAAAAATTAGTGTGCCACAGATGCCGAGGTCTTCGGCCATGCCAATTGTCACTTGAGCTTCTAAACTGTCCCCATTAGAGTCAGGGCTCATCCTCTGAAGGGGCCGTGCTTCCAATCTTCCCTGGTGCAGTGATTTTAAAACATGCAATTTCTTTTCCACCCCTGGCATTAAGAGGTGGAGTCTTATTCCTCTTCCCTTGAATATGGGCTGGCCTCTGTGACTCACTTCTAACCAGCAGCATGTGGCAGAAGTAAGGCCATGTGTCTCCCGGCAGTAGGTCATGAAAGCAACACAGCTACTGCCCGGGTCTTGCTCCTGGGCTCTAGTTCTTGATACCCAGCTCCCACACCATGAGGAAGCCCAGGCCACATGGAGAGGACACAGCCTGTGTTCCAGCCGACTGCCCGGCCGAGGTCTCAGCTGCCAGACACATGAGTGAGGAGGCCTTGAGAGGACTCCAGACCCAACTACCATCAGACTGCAGCCACCCGAGAGCCCTGAGTGAGAACCGCCCAGCTGAGCCCAGTCAGTGCTAAGAACTGCGAGAAAGGATGATAGAGTGAGGTTGTTTCACACCACTAGGTCTGGGGTGATTTGTTACACAGCTAGAGATAACCAGAACTCCTGTTGAGGGCATGCAGTGGATTCCTGATGGCGTTTGACAGGAGCCCTGGTCAGGCACCTCCTTCAGCCTGGGCTCTGTTCATGTGGTAGGTCTACAGAACCCCCCAAACACCATAGCCCTGTGGGAAGTCATTATCCATCCCCACCCCACCTCACCTCTCCTTCTAGACACCCATGTCAGATAACGGCATGACCACCCACCCAGGCATCCCAGTACAAACTGGGTGTCATCTTGTCATATTTGGCTGGTGCATCCCTATGTAATTTTTTTTTTTTTTTTTTTTTTGAGATGAGGTCTCCTTATGTTGCTCAGGTCGGTCTTGGACTCCTGGCCTTAAGCAGTCCTCCTGCCTCAGTCTCCTGAAGTGCTGGGATTACAGGCGTGAGCCACTGTGCACAACCCCCCATCTAATTTACTCCTATCCATTCATTCCTCTAGCAAACCTTTATGGAGCACCCACTGGTGTCAAGCTTTGTGCTAAATGGACCTGCCTGGTCCCTGTCCTCAAGGAGCTTACAGTAAAGCAAAGAGAAACCTGTCAAGCTATTCATTACAAGTGCAGCCAAAAGTCTCAATAACTGTGTACATTAAGTAACCTAAGTACTGTGCTGAGCTCTCCACATTCATTCAATCATTGAGTCCCCATAGTAATTCCATGAGGAGGAGATTATTATCCAGAGATAATTAACTTTATTTTACAAGGAAACTGAGGCACCCAGAGGTTGAGTGAGCTTATGCCATTAGTGGGCGGTAGCACAGAGGTGAAGTTTCCTTCCCATCCCTCCCTTCTGCCGCTGCAGTAGCTGAAGTTCTGTCCTGGGTCCTGCAGGAAGCACGGGCTGAGACATAGCTGAGAGCCCACGTGGTTTTACAGGGGCGTCTTGCCTGTGGAAGACCAGTGGGGAAGCAGGGCTGGGCAGGAACAGCCTCAGACAGCGACACAGATCTTCCCAGTCCTGGGCCAACCCAGCAGGAGTTCTTGAGCACAGGTGGCCATAAAAGGCATCCCCACTGAGCTCAAATGGCCAGGCCTGCTGCGCTCAGTATTTACTGGGGCTGCCCAGAAGAGCATGGTCTCTTCTTGATGGCTGAGGCCACTCCTGCAGGGTCTGCACTCTTTGCAGCTGAGCAGCAAATTCTTTCCTAAAGGGAGACCCCTGTGCTGCTCCTGTGGCTGCTACCCAGACTGTCACACAGCCTTCTCTCTCATCTCTCCACCTCTGGGCACAGCCCTCTGCCCAAATTCTGTGTCTAGAGTCATGGCTCTAAAATGCACACCCCCCTGTGAGATCCACCAGCCATTCCCCATCTCCGTCAGGAGGAGGAACAAGTTCCCTCTTCCCCCCACACCTCCCCATGCTGTGCGGACTATCCAGGGATCAGACAGTCTGGGCTCACACCTGGGCTCCCCACTGATTTATGCTGCTAATATCGGTACCTCCTCCAGAGATTGCTGTGTGGTCCAATGAGATGCCACAGGGAAAACACTTAGTGTTAGGCTGCCACAGAGCAAGGCCAGAAATGACCTCCTTTAGGCCCAGACCTGCCTCTGGTCAGCTCAGGCACTGAGGCCAGGAAGGGCTGACTTCCAGCCAGGGTGCCTTTGTTACCCCTAAGTTCAGAGGAAAGAGGTAGCAGAGAGGCCACTCTGAGGTTCTCTGTCTGGTGGAGGGACAAGAAAGGTGGGTCCAGTCACCCCTGGCAGGTGTGGGTGTGGTTCCCCTGGGCTGGAGCTGGCAGGGTCACCGTAGGGAGAGGGGCTAAGCTCAGGGGAGAGAGGTGGGAGGGAGAGAGGAAGGACTCTGCGTGTCCAGTGTAGAGGCCCTGCTCACCCTCCCTGGTCCTGACCCCGGCTCCAGCCCCATCAGACTCTGCAGTTGGACTGTTGCTCAGGGCCCGGTCTTGCCCCGGCTAGGCCACTGTATAGGAGGCCTTGTGTGCTGAGGCTCCTGGTCTCGCCTGGCGCCAGCCTGACCCGCTCAGCTCAGCCCCTCCTCAAGGCTGTCCCCACAAGCCATCTCCTCCAACAAAGGGTCAGTGTCCTCGAGAGGGCAGGTGCTGCCAGGCGGGACCACAGCCAGGCCTGCTGGGGAGTTCTGGGCAGTCAGTTCTCAGAGGAGTGACCAGGGCCTGGCTATGTTGAGGACAGGGCTGGCGGGATCTTTGTTGTTTTTGTTGGTTTTGAGCCACTGCCCCTAGGAAGAGGTCAAGGTGAGAGAGGCAGGCAGAGGCTAGGGCTGGGGAGCTGCGGTACTTTAGCCCAGTTCATGGCTAGAGTCCAGATGGGGGCCTCTCAGGAGGAGTAGAGGCCTACTGACCTCCCTGCCACTATCCCCATGCCCCACCTCAAGACCCTAGGCCCCAGCTTGACCTGAGACCCGGCAAAAAAGAGCCAGAATCCACCCTATTTTCAAGCCAGGAAGGAGTCTACCCTTTAGTGTGACAGCTTATACCCACCCCCATTTTCCTCTCTGCCCACTCCGTCAGCCTGTTGAAACTCCTGCTGAGGCCCACTGCCTGCCTCTCTGCTGCCAGACTGGGCCACCTGCCAGTCCCACAGAGCCAGCCTTCAAACCCCCACAGCTGGTCAGTCAGCCCTGGGAGAAGTGGTCCCCCCACTGGGTCACACTTCTCTGAATACAGGCTGCTCACAAGCAGAATTTAAGCCATTGATGGGTCAGGGCTGGCAACCATCTCAGGCCACATCAATAAAGGCCAAGTCTCTGTAACAAGGGAGGTCGGGTATTCTATTTGCAGCTCAGGCCTGTGGAAATCAGACAATCTCCAAATATTGGAAGGAGTGTCACAGAACAAGGACAAATGGATGGAGGTTCCGGAGAGTAATGAATGAAAGCTACAGACTTCGGAACAACATGAGGGTAGATAAAAATCTGTCGAGGATTTGCGTATATTGTGCTTTTCCCATCAGATTATAAGCTCCTTGGAGGTCTTGTTCATCTCAGTAGCTCCTCCACCATCTCAGTCTCTTAATACCTGTCATCACTCAGCTCACAGTGATGGCAATAAATATTGGTAGATCAGTGGGTGGATGGATGGGTAAATGTATGAATGGTGATAGAGTATGGATGGGGAGATGAGTAGGTGGGTGGATGCATAGGTGGGCAGGTGAATTGATGGACAGATGGCAGGAGAGTAAATAACGGACTGACTCCTACACTGGAGCAAGGACAGAATGGAAGCTGGCATAACCCTGGCCAGCACAAAACAGGCTTCTCAAAGATTTCTTACAGAGGCTGCAAAAGGCATGAAACATAAGAGAAAAGGCAGATAACCTAGACTTCATTAGCATTAGCAACCTGTATTCATCAAAAGACAACATTAACGAAACAGAATTAAGAAATGAAGCTACAGGCCTGGTGCAGTGGCTCATGCTTGTAAACCTAGTGTTTTGGGAGGGCAAGGCAGGAGGATCCACTGAAACCAGGAGTTCAAGCCCAGCCTGGGAAACATAGCACAGCTCTGTCTCTACAAAAAAAAAATTTTTTTAATTGAACTGAACATGGTGGCATGTGCCTGTATACAGTCCTAGCTACTTAGGAGGCTGAAGCTGGAGGATTGCTTGTGTCCAGGAGTTCCAGGTTGCAGTGAGCTAGGATCATACCACTGCATTCCAGCCTGAGCAACAGAGAATCAAAAGAAAGAAAAGGAAGGAGGGACGGAAGGGAGGAAGGAAGGAAAGAAGGGAGGAAGTAAGGAAGGAAGGGAGAAAGGAAGGAAGGAAGGAAGGAAAAAACTACAAAGTAGGACAAGATAGTCACAATACATACATCTGACAAAAGTTCATGTTCACTACGTATAGAGAACTTACATCCATCAATAAGAAATGGTAAACAGCCCAATAGACAGTGGTCAAAAAACTTGAGCAAGCATTTCACATATACACAAAAAGGTATCCAAATGACCAATAATCATGTGAGAAGGTAGACAGACAGCATCTTTAGGGTCATCAGGACAAAGCGAATTAAAGCCCCAATGGGATACTATTATATACCCACTAAAATGGCTAAAATTAAAAAGGGTTGCTGAGGATGTGGCATAGCTGGAACTTCCATACATTGTTAGTGGGAGTGTCAGTTGGTACAATAACTTTAGAAAACTGTTTGGCAGTTATCTACTAAAGCTAAAAATATGCTTACCTATGACTCAGAAATTCCACTCCTAGGCATATATTTAAAAGAAATGAGGGCCAGTCATGGTGGCTCATCCCTGTGATCCTAGCACTTTGGGAGACTGAGAAACGAGTATCACTTGAGCTCAGGAGTGTGAGACCAGCCTGGGCAACATAATGAGACCTCATCTCTACTTTTTTTTAAATTAAAATTAAAGGCTGGGTGTGGTGGCTCACACCTGTAATCCCAGAACTCTGGGAGGCCGAGGCGGGCAGATCATGAGGTCAGGAGATTGAGACAATCCTGGCTAACACGGTGAAACCCTGTCTGTACTAAAAATACGAAAAATTAGCTGGGCGTGGTGGCAGGCACCTGTAGTCCCAGCTACTCAGGAGGCTGAGGCAGGAGAATGGCGTGAACCCAGGAGGCGGAGCTTGCAGTGAGCCTAGATTGCACCACTGCACTCCAGCCTGGGCAACAAAGAGAGACTCTGTCTCAAAAAAAACAAATTTTAAATTTAAAAAAGAGAAATGAGTATGTATGTCCACACAAATACTTCAAGTGAATGTTCATAGGTGCCTCAAACTGGAAACAACCGAAGTGCCCATGAACAGTAGGGTGAATACATGCATTGTGGTACATCCATACAGTGGAATACTACTCAGCAATAAAAAAGAACAGCTACTGATGCAGGCAGCAACATGGATGAATCTCACTCATGTGTCTGGCAGCTGAGACCTCGGCCGGGCAGTCGGCTGGAACACAGGCTGTGTCCTCTCCATGTGGCCTGGGCTTCCTCATGGTGTGGGAGCTGGGTATCAAGAACTAGAGCCCAGGAGCAAGACCCGGGCAGTAGCTGTGTTGCTTTCATGACCTACTGCCGGGAGACACATGGCCTTACTTCTGCCACATGCTGCTGGTTAGAAGTGAGTCACAGAGGCCAGCCCATATTCAAGGGAAGAGGAATAAGACTCCACCTCTTAATGCCAGGGGTGGAAAAGAAATTGCATGTTTTAAAATCACTGCACCAGGGAAGATTGGAAGCACGGCCCCTTCAGAGGATGAGCCCTGACTCTAATGGGGACAGTTTAGAAGCTCAAGTGACAATTGGCATGGCCGAAGACCTCGGCATCTGTGGCACACTAATTTTTAAAAATTTTTAATTTGAGTCCTTTTTTGTTCCCTTGAGACAAGGTCTCATTCTGTCATCCAGGATGTAGTACAGTGGTGTAAACACAGCTCACTGCAGCCTCCATCTCATGGGCTCAAGCGACCCTCCCACCTCAGCCTCCCAAGTAGCTGGGACTAGAGGCTACAAAAATCTTGAGGATATGCTATATGATTATGGAAAGTACAAGAGTAGGTGAAACTAATCTATGGTGAGATAAGTCAGAATAGGGGCTACTTTGGGGGAGGGGGTCACTGGAAGTGGGTACAAGGGAGCCAGCCTTCTGGAGTCCTGGAAGTGTTCTAAATCTTGATCTGCATGGTGTACATATGTGTATATTTACCAAACTCTACATTGATGATCTGTGTACTCATTATATTTTTGTTATACTTCAATAAAGCATTTTTAAAACACAAACACAATTCCTTTATTCCAGAAGAGTTCAGTGTGCTGGCGTGGAAGCAGAGCCCAGAAGGTGCATTATCTCTCCTCCCCTTCCAAGAGGCTTGGTTCTCAGAACACAGCATAATACATCTCACGGGAATTGAGAAGTCCTTGTCTGAGGCAAGGGGGCTGGGCTAGATGACGAGGAGAAGATGCTCATATGGGGAAGTCCCCGGGGTGGGATAGATGACAACAGGATGACACATGCCTGGGACTTTCCCACCAGCTCTTCCCAAGGCCACCGCACACTTGAGCTGCTGAGGCACTCAGAGAGCGCTGGCCAAGGGTGTCTATGCCTCCGCACCCTAGTGTGCTGTACTCTGAGGGGTCATGACTCCTGGGGGCTTCCCACCACTGCCCCTCCTCTGTCTCCAGTGTGGGCCACTGTACCAGCTGCAGAGCTGAAATCAGAGGGGAATAGGGAGGAGGTGGGAAGAGGGGGACCTGGAGCTACTTCCTGCCCTCCTGGGCCTCAGTCTTCTCCTCTGTAATACAGAAAGATTGTGCTACACTTCCAAGGCCATTCTCAATGCAGGTTCTGAAGGTTCCCTGGGCACCCCAAGCCACCCATGAGCCCAACTGGCTTGCCAAGCACATCTGGAGAGCTAGAGGGCTCTGTCAGCTGACTGCACAAAGCCCAAGTCATCTGGGCTTCTCCTCCCGCGAGTCAGGGAGCATCACAGGAGGCTGACACAGGTGAGCCTGTGAGGCCGGCTGACCAGGGCAGGGCACACCTCATGGTCAGAAGTGAGTCAGCCGGGGCCTGGCTTCACTCAGCCAGGAAGCCCACGGGATGGAGCTGGACCAGGCTGAGGACTAACCCATCACAGGTGCCAAGAGAGGAACCTGAGTCACCCTTGCCCCCTCTCTCTCCCACTGACCCCACTCCTGCCAATCAGGCATCCACCCTTTCCTCTATACCTCCTTGGCATCCCTCGGGTCCATCCTTCCTCCCCATTCTGCGGCCCCCTACCTTAGAGACTGCAGTAGGCCCCTCCCTGCCCTCCAATCCTAGCCCCAAAGTCCAGTCTCCTTCATTCTTCCAGGTGGAACATTTTCCCCCTCCTTTATTCAGGCATAATTGACATTCAATACAATGCATGGATCTTAAGAATGAAGTTTAAAGAGTTTTGATAAATGCATACTCCTGTGCGACCAATACCCAGTCATGTCAAGGCATAGAATACTTCAATTACCTTGGAAAGTTTTCTCTACCCCTGCCTCCAGTCACCCAGCCTACACCCAAAAAACCCTCTGTGCTGACTTCTACCCCCCAGAAATGAGCTTTGTGGGTTCTTAAGCTTCACATAAAATAGAATTTTTTAGTAATTATACATTAATGCTCCTTTATGTCTGGATTCTTTCACCCACTGTGCTTTTCGTCTTCATCCATCTTTTGTGACTTTTATTGTTGGATAAGTTTCCATTTTATAAACATGACTCAATTTGTTTATTCATTCTCATGTTGATGGACAACTAGACTGTTTCCAGATTTTTACTGTTATGGATAATGCTGCCCTGACCACTTGTGTACGTGTTTTTGTGTGGATATGTCTTCATTTCTCTTGGGTAAATTCCTGTAAGTTAAATCGCTGGGATATACAGTAAATATATGTTTATCTTTATAAGAAATTGACAAACTTTTCCAAAGTGGTCATACCATTATAGACGCCCAGCACTAATATATGAGAGGTCCGGTTGTTCCACGTCCACACCAGCACTTGGTATTTTTAGTCTTGTTAATTTTAACCATCCGAGGATCTTTTTAAAAACCACTTCTAAACATCCCAAATGTCCATCGGCTGGCAAACGGACAGACAAAAGGCGGTAAATCCACACAATGGAATACTAGTTGGTAATAAAAAGAAATGAGATACTGATATACAACAGGAATGAACACTGAAAATGTTACACCTGGTGAAAGAAGCTCATCACAAAAGTCCACCTTGTGTATGATTCCATTAATATAAAATGTCCAAAGTAGGCAAATTTATACAGACAGAAAATATATTGGTGCTTTTCTAGGGCTGAGGAGATGGGAGGTTGGAGGGTGATAGCCAGTGGGTGTGGGATCTCTATTTGGGGTGATATAAGTGTTCTAACATTTATCGTGGTGGTTCACAAGTCTGTGAGTATACTAAAAGCCATTGAATTAGACACTACCTGAAAAAGCTATCTGAAAAACCAAACCCACCACATCCAATTAGCAGGCTACCCCTTATAGCTCCCTACTGTCCTCAGAGTAAAGACCCAGATTCCCAAACCCAGATTCCCCCACATCGTCTTCCTCTCCTGCAGGCCCCATGGAAACCGCCACTTCCAGATGCACTCTCTGCCGTGGGCCTCTGAGTGCCTGCACGTCCTGTTCCTGCGTCCTGGACTGTCGGTTCCACCTCACCTCTGACTCACCCTTTATGGTTCAGCTCACCTGACAGCCTTCCCTTCCCTCTCTCATTCATTCATCCATTCATTCATGCAACAAGCAATTATTTAGGCACCTGCTGTATGCCAGGCTCTATTCCAGGCACTAGGGACGCAGCAGCAAACAAAACAGACTAAATCCCTCGTGGCGTGCAGGAACAGATAATAATTGAGCACTTAGTCAACCTGACGTGCCCCAGTCCCTGCCTGCCGTCCTTCTCCACATTTCCACAGTGCTTTGTAGGCACTTCCGTTTCAACACGAACCCATCTGCACTTTCACAAGTCCACAGTGGGTCTCCCGGACAAGGCTGGGACTTCATGAGGGTAAGGGCCAGGCCTACCTCTCCTGGGCATCAGAGCAAGGATAGTGCGTCCTCTGTGTGCGGCATCCCCCACAGTCCACAGAGCCCTCTCACAGCCCTGGTCTCATCTGCTCGCTCACCCGCTCTGTTCAGCAAGCGGGGATTGTGGAGAGGAGATGTGAAGGCAGGATGCCCACTGCCCAGGTGAGGCAATGAGGCCCTGAGAGTGCATGAGACCACATGGCTACAGAAGCATGGCAATTGGCTTCTCTTACTCCCTGCCCTGGGCAGGCTCCTTGTGGCCTGGCCAGCTCTGAGGGCCAAGGATTGGTGTCACCATACCAGGAAGTGATTCCAGGCCCAGCAGGAACCACATGGCCCTGTGGGCCACATCTCAGGGCGTTGCCTTAGTTTCCATCACTCGGGCTGGGCAGCATGTGGCAGGATGGTCAAGGAGCAGCAGCGTGTCTCCCGAGCCTCTTCCCTGCCCTCAGCCCAGCTCAGGTGAGTCACCAGCACATGAGCATGAAGTCATTCTCGGGGCTCCCTCTCTCAGGAGGTGTGCAGTTCACATGGGAAGTATGGGAGGGGGACCTGCAAGGCCTCCTTAATGGTATGATTAGTGCTCATGGGGTGAAGGTGGCTCAAAGCACCCCTTGAGGTGACACTTTCCTCCAAGGCCTTGACACACACCTGGCTCCTCTTTGCACTTGCTCCTTCTGGTCTACTGTGGCAGCAGCAGAGGTGGGGGCTGATCTTCAGCAGGCAGCATGGGGCTTCTGGGGCCTGCATCCTTGGGCCTTTCCAGCTTCTTTCTTTATGAAGCCCCTGAGGGCTGGTGAGATGGCCCACCTGGGGTTCCTGTTCCTGTCTCCAGCTCCTGGTAATGGCCGGAGGGGAGGGAGCCCCCATTACCCAAGTTGCTCCAGTGGCTGCTGGTGCTCTTCCTGCTTCCAGCAGCGCCAAGCCCTAGGCCCTCCAGATTGAACCCGGGACAGGAGTTCTCCTTCCAGCCCCCTTCTGCTCCTGGAGTCAAGAGGTTCGCAGATGTGTTCTTGTTTGTCCATCTGCACGCTGCTGGGGGCAGGTGCCCTGCTCAGCTCAGAGGCCATGGCAAGGGAGAAGCTGCCTCCTTTCTGGACCCAGCGGAACCTCTCCTCAGCTTATAGTTCCAGACCCACTCCTGCCTTTCCCCAGGGTGGGGTTGGGTGATAGTTTTTTGTTTGGTTTTGAGACAGGGTCTTGCTCTGTCTCCCAGGCTGGAGTGCAGTAGCACAATGATGGCTCACTGCAGCCTCAATGTCCTGGGCTCAAGCAATCCTCCCAGCGCAGCTTCCTGAGTAGCTGGGACTACAGATCTGTGCCACCATGCCCAGTTTTTTTTTTTTTTAATATTTTGTAGAGACAGGGTCTCACTATATTGCCCAGGCTGGTCTTAAACTCTTGGGCTCAAGCCATCCTCCCACCTCAACCTCCCAAAGTGCTGGGATTACAGGTATGAGCCACCATGCCCAGCCTTGGGTGATGGTTTTGAAGTCTCAGAGACTTTGGGACTAGGAGGAATTAGGCAAGGTGCCCAGCCTAGCACCAGAATGCTCTCCTCACAAACAGCAGGGATGTGTCCTCTGTCTAGTGGATGTGGAGGAGGGGTCCTCTTCACGCCCCTGGGAAGCTCCCCATAGTTCCCTCCCACAGCTTCCATCTCTTCCCACAGTCCATCTCTTTCTCCCCTTCCCTGGGACACCCCACCATTCCCTGAAGCCATGATGAAAGCCTGGGCCCTTCTGGGTCCTTGCACTATCATTGAGCCCAGGCATCCTGTTTGGATGGTCCTCGGGGTTCCCAGGAGAGGATGGAGAGGGTTTACCCCCATCCCTCCGTTCCCCAAACTTGTGCTCTTGGCAAATGTCTGCAGATCCAGCACATCCTGCACAGCAGAGATGAATTCCCTCCAAGGTGGCGATTTGGGTTCTATTGTTGCACGGCGAGCTTGCCCAGAACAGCAGCTTTAAACCATGACAATCACGGATTCTGCTCAGGGATCTAGAGCTTGACTGGACTCAGCTATGCGGTTCCTCCTTGAGGTGGCACACAGCCTTGGCCAGATGGTGGCTGGGCTGGGTTCATCTTGAAGGCGTCTTCACTCACAGGTCTGGGGCCCAGGCTCGAAAGACTCAGCTAGCAGGGCTCACTGAGCATCTCTCACTTTGCATGTGGTCACTCCATGAGATCTTTCTACGTGGCAGTTTCAGAGATTGGGACCTCCCACATGGTGGATGAAGGTGACCAGATCTATAAGAAACATTCACATTCTCCATTTCACATCAACATGACCCTTTTCCTGACAGTAACCCTGATTTTCTGCATTTACAAAGCTCATACTCCTTCCTGCTCTGAATTGCACTGCAAAGCATTGCTTCCATTAACCTGACAACAACAATGAAGAGCATCCTGTCCAAATCATGTCACCTTAATTCCTGGGTTTCTTCCTAGATGAAAGAGCTGGTGGGGAGACATCTCAGTTTGAAGACACACACACACACACAGACACCCACATACACAGACACACACACACACACACACACAGATACAGAAACACATAGACACACAGAGAGACACACATGCACAGACACACAAACACATGGACACACAGACACACACAGACACACACAGAAACACCACACAGATACAGAAACAAAGCACACAGGCAGATACACAGACACACACAGAAAACACAGACACACACATATATGCACACACACAAGGTCACACAGACACACACATAGAGACACACAGACACGCATAGAGACATACACACAGAGACACACACAGGGAGCCCTGATGACACACACAGAAACACACACAGACACACAGATACAGAAACACACAGACACACAGAGAGACACACACGCACAGACACACAAACACATGGACACACAGACACACAGAAACAGACACACACAGAGAGACAGACACACAGACACACACAGAAAACACAGACACACACACATGTATACACAGACACACACACGGACACACAGACACACACATAGAGACACACAGAGACACACAGATACACATGGAGACACAGACACACATACACAGACACACACACAGAGAAGCAGACACACACAGAGACACATGCAGAGACACAGACAAAGAAACAGATACACGCAGACATATAAATACAAACACACACACAGACACATAAAGATACACCCACAGAGACTCACAGACACACACAGAGACACATACACAGACACACAGATACAGAAACACAGACACACAGAGACACACCCACAGACCCACATACAAAAACACAGATACACACAGACACTCACAGACACACACAGACACACAGATACACACAGACACACATAGATACAGAGACACACAGACACACACATACACACACAGACACACACGGAGACACACACAGACACACATACAGAGACACATACACACACACAGAGACACACACAGGGAGCCCTGCTGACACACACAGACACACATAGAGACACAGACACACATACAGAAACATACACACAGACACACAGATACGCACATGGAGACACACACAGACACACACACACACACACACACACACACACACACACACAGACTCACATGGTCTTCACCATGTCTGGCTGCCCTTCCTGTCTTCCTGGATCAATGTACCCAGGTGACTGAGCCCTACTGTATAAGCCAGGGGTCTATACACTTTTTCTTGAAGGGCCAGATAGTTAATACTTTAGGTTTTGTGGACCAAGAGACAAAATTGAGGCTGTGATGTAGGTACTTATACAATCATTTAAAATGTAATCACTTAAAAATATAAAATCGATTCTTAGATCAGGGGCATAAGAACAGGAGCCTGGCTGGATTTGGACCCCAATTAGTTTGCTAATCCCTGGAATAAACTAAAGGGGCCCCTGAGGCACCTTCCAGCAGACCCTTTTCTCTTACCATTAGTGAAGAAAAGGTCTGTGCGGTGGGGGCAGTGTGTCTATGACCTCAGCTTGACCAACCAGATGCTCTCTGGCAGGAGGTGACACCTAGACAGGGGGGAAAAGGTGGAATTAGTCCGTTCTTTCCTATATCAGTGCCAGATAAGGCCACCAGTTCCTGCTGACAAGCCTGTCTAGGGCAGGCTCCTGTCTGTTCTGAGCGTATTTTCCATTCTTCCCTCCACCTTTCCACTCACTCACATCCTACCAACAAATACCCTTTCTCCTTCCCTTAAGGTGATCAAAATAAGCTTCTGTTGCTGGCACCCAAACCTCCCTGACTGACAATTACACTGGTAGTCTCACTCTGTCCAGCCACAGTGGAATCTTCTGAGCATGCATTCTAGGGGGTCAGGGGCCCCCAAAGTGCTCAGGATTCTGGGTCCCCATCACCATCATCCCTGGGATGGGTGATGTGGTCCCAGTCCCTGACCATACTCAGTTTGACCCTGGAGTCTCTGAGTCCCCAGGTGGACACCAGGCAACTCACGCCTCTCCTTGGAGTAACATGGCCTGGCTGGGAGAAGGGCCAATTGCCACTAGCCCTGTTCATGTCCACATCTCTCTCACAGCCCTTTCGTGAATCCATCCTGCGTCCATCGGTGCATCAAGTGCACCTTAGGCGTGGGTCAACCAAACAGTAAGGGGTTGCATTTGTCAGATGTTTCTCCAGAGGCTTAAGCAGTGCCCGGTAGAGACCCAAGTCAAATGTGGGTCTCTGTGAAAGGGGATTCACTGGCTCATGTAACTGAGGAAGACACAGGTGTGACTGGGATATGCTAGCACCAGGATGGAAAATGCTAGGGAAGGATTCTGATTGGTGCCTGCATCCGCAGACCAGTCACTGTGGACTGGCAGGCAGGGCTGTGTTGGCTCCCAGGGGATTATGTGGCAGAGACTGGCTGTGGTAGGTTGCAATTGTCTACCCTGCAATTTTCTTTCCGTTATTCACGGCAACTTGCAATGTGATGTTGTAGCTGTCCCTATCAAGAGGAGAAGTCTGTTTTCCCAGGCCTTGAATCTCGGCTCGTCTTGGGACTTGTTTTGACCAATGAAATGAGGCTGAAGTGATGCTGTACAATCCTGAGGCGACCATTTGAACAAGCCCAGGGAGCCTCACTCCAGTTAACTGCAAGCCAGCTACCAAATATGCGAGTGAGGCCATTCTAAACTAGCCTGCCTGCTGGCCTCAGACACGTGAGTGAGCCCAACTGAGATCATATGAGCCTGGCCCAGTCGACAGAACTTCTCACTCAACCCACAGTCTCAGAGGCAAAAATGAATGGTTGTTTTAGGCCATTAATAATAAATAGCTGTTTGTTCTGCCGCAAAACCTAACTGATACACTGTCTAAATGTTCATTTGAATCCATGGGAGCTGATAACAACTCTGCCTTCCAGTTCAAAATGACCAGGCCAGGGAATGGACACAGAACCCAGCTGGAACAAACAGAATCCTTCCCTAGGACTCTGTCTCCTGTCTAGGCACATAGCTGAAGTGCCTTTCCCTGGATCTTTGCCTTCTCTCTGAAGACCCTCCCTGCTACCTTTGTAGTTAGGTGTAGCTAACTGAAATTGTAGGTCAATCACAGTCATGAGATTGAACTCTAGCCAATAAATGTGGGCCTGGCCCATAAACTTACTCTCTATGGGATACTCCTTTGGTTTTCCTCATCTGCCAGCTGAATGCAGAAAATTTTAAGGAGAGCAGAGCTACCAGATGAGAAGGACCTGGGTTAGTGAATGACCACATAGACAGCGTCCAACCAGGGGCACCCACATTGGGCTGTGACATGGGCATTGTCTTGAGCCACTGATAGTTTGGTGTTTATTACAGCAGCATGGCCTGGCTCACATATCAGAGAGGGGCAGTAAGAGGCGCAGAGTGATGCTCAGAAGAAAGCGAGTACGGTTCCCTGAAGAAGGGAGGGGTGACGGGCAGGCAGGATGTTAAATGTTCACTCCAGAAGGAAGTTGTGAGCCACCTCGAGTGTCAGGCTACAAAACCAAACCACAGAGAGTCTGGGGAGCTGCCAAAGATGGGGCCTGCCGTCTCTGTGATGTTACCAGCAGCACTCTGGCTGGGCTGGTCTGTCTTGCCTCTCAGGGAAGACACTAGCTCCAGGGAAGACTACTAGGTGCCGGGTGGTGAGGGGAAGACACCGGGCCCTGGGTGACAAAGGGAAGACGCCAGGTCCTGGATAATAAGCAGTAGTAATAGGAAGAGAGGGTTCCCAAGACCACAAAGCTGAGACCCTGTTTCTGTTTGACATATATTTCCGTTGTTAACTGACATCCTTTTAGTTAAAAGCTAGAAAGCTTCTTTTGTTCTCATGACAAGGTTGACATAAGACTTAACTTTTGATATAAGCAAAGTCATAAAAAGAAAAAGGGAAATCATGCAGCCTGGAGGGGAGGGAAAAAGTCAAAGGCAAAGACTGAGCCTAGTAACAGAGATCCACTGAGAGCAGGGGAAGAGGCAGGTCAGGCCTTAGATCCAGCCGGGGCCACAATGGCACCTGCAATCTTTGTGCCTCAGGTCAGATTCTTGACTGGGGCAGGGGTAACATGATTGGTCACTGGCCAGCTAGTCCTTCGCGACACGTGTCCCTCCTGGTCTAATGGGCTGGGGTCAAGGGGGGTTTGGTCATGTGGGTCAAACATGTCTGCCCTTCTGCAGCGGCAGATGGCAGTTTCCAGGGAAGGAGGATAAGGGTGCACAGGCATTCCCAAAAGTCTAGAGTGGCATTCCAGGAGGAGGGGCAGACATTGGCAAAGATATGGGCATGAGAACAGGGTAGTGTGTTATGGTGGCCAAAGACAGCATGTTCAGGGCTGGGGATGGTGGCAGATGGGTCCGGTCTTGGGATCTGCAGACCATGGGTATTTCTGCTTTAGGCAGGGACTGGTCTCTCCAGCTAATCTAGAGGTATAGAACTTGGTGGTTAAGCTCCAGAGTCTCACGGGGCTGGGCTGCATTTCAGTCCCGCCACTTAAACCAGCATTTGGCCCTGGGTCAGAGGTCAGGGACTGGGGACCACTGAGGCAGATGCAGCTCACACCTGGACTTTATTTAGGCCATAGGTGTCTGTACACATTTTTGTTTGCTTATTTGCAACTTTTTTTAAAAACCTGCATTTCTAGATTCTCTTGGAAAATCAGAAGTCTAGCAACAGCTGGGTCTGCATTCTCACCTGGCAACAAACACCCAGAGAAGCAGATGCCCCTTGGTCACAATCAGTGCTCTCTAGTTGTCACACTCTCTGCTTCTCTCAGCTACCTGCCCATACTTGTGCCCTTGCATCATTAGCACTCAGCAGCAGCTTTTGGTTCTGTTTTGTTGAGCAGAGAAATACTTTTTTTGCAGCCAGGTGAAGTTGATTTATTCACTAAAGGTACTGCTATCCAGAAACAATCTGTAAGAGTGAGAGAAGCAGAGTAAGGAGGGGGAAGAGATGAACAATGAGAGGGGCTTGGAGAAAGGCTGCCCTTGGCTGGATCATGGAGCAAAGACTTTGGAGCATAAGCCAGATCCTTAAGGCAAGAGGGCAGGCACTTTGTACTCTAGATTAGCCATTTTTTGTGGGCCACATCCAGAGGGTGGAACTTCCCAGGTGAGACAGCTCTGGTCACCTCAGGGCAATTCTCCAGAGAAAGGGGGCTGTGGGCTGTAAGCTGTGAAGAGCCAACACTCACGGCAGCCAGGGGAGGGGTGCCTTGCCCTGCAGAAGGGATTTGGGCAGGGTGCCACAGCGTCTACTACAGCCCACCCCTTGCACTGCTCAGATCCAGTCACTTCTCACATTAAGTTTATTTTATCTGCCTATTGTTGGGAATGGGGGTCATTGATTTAGGATGTATAGGACAACCTGAAGGATAGCACCCCATATCCTTCACACTGATGAGGTATTGCCTCCCAGTTGGTACCTCAGCTGTGTCTTTAAGAGGCAACTCTATCCCCTATAGACTGGCAGATTCTAGATGTTGTGAAATGTGTAAGGACCAGTGGATTTCACAGTCGTGTGCCCACTGCCATGCAGCAATCATGGTGACTCAGCTCTCTTAGTCTGCAATGATGTCAACTGAGGGCCTATGTCAGTGAATCAGACTCTTGGTGAGCCATAGTGCCAATGGCCTGAGGCTCCATTGGAAGGAGAAGTGAATTCATACCTAGAATATGCATCCATCCTGTCTGGGCAAATCACTGCCCTTCCCATGAGGGAAGGGGTCCTACATAATCAACTTGTCACCAAGTGGCTAGTTGGTTTCATCCTGGAATGTTATTGTATCACGGGCTCAGCTTGGGTCTCTGTTGATGACAGGTTGGGCATTCAGCAGTGACAGTAGCTAGATCAGCCTTGGGGAGAGGAAGCCAAGGCTGTTAGGGTTATATATAACTTCGTCATTGTCACCATGGCACTCTGTTCATGAGCCCATATGGTGCAAGGACTGGTTGGAGGATGACGAGTGAGGACAGAGACTGGCTGACGTCCACTGGCCGAGTCATCCTGCCCACTTGGTTGTTTGGTGTTGCTTCTGCAATGGATGCTCTTTGGTGAGTATTGAAATGTGATACGTTATCTTCGTACTTTTTGCCACTCTCAGAGATCCACAGGCCTCTTTCCCAGTCCTTTTTGTCTCTGATAGTCCAGACTTGTTTTTCCCAGGCCCCTGACCAATAAAGAGCTAAGCCATTCACCACTGCCCATGAATACGAGTATATCCTTATTTCAGGTCTCTTCTCTTGCCGTGAGATGACCAGGTGCTTTGGCAAAATCTCTGCCTATTGGAGGGATTTTCTCTCACCAACATCTTTCAGGGCCACCCTTGGATGGCACTGTAGTGCAGGCTCAGTCCATTTTTGGCTTACACCCACAGGCCAAGTCAACCCATCTGTGACCCAAACTCAAGAATTTCCCTTCTCTGTCAGCTGGTCATAATAAACATTTTTTGTGAGAGGCATTGGTATGACAGTCCTCATCCCAAGTCTTGGTGTCTCCTTCCCTACCAGGGGCCTGATTTGGATATAGGAGACCTCCCTTGATGGAGAATTCAGCCTTTACTCAAGTTCTGCTGCTTTTCCAATGAGTCCTCTGCCTGATTGTCACTCCATCTGCCCTCTGGCTGCAGAAGGTAAGCGCTTTCCAATGCTTCCTGCCAAGAAGTTTCCTCTGATGCGCACACTCTAAATTGCCAGTTAAGATATTTGTAACTGTAATTTCCTTTCTTCAATGCATTGGTGACATTTAGTAATAGCCACATTTAGCAAGTCCATAGTCTTAATAGTTATTCTTTGCCCATATCTCTCAGATGCCGGATACATTGCTGTGGCTGTGTAGCTCCTTCACCTGTGTCCCATCCCAGTTCACCACAGGTGCACACTGCTACCCAATTCCTGCCACTAGTGGTGGGTCCTCATTGTCATCTGGTCAGTGGTACCTCTCCAGCATCCTATCCTCAGAGCCTGCCTCCCAGACCCATTCCCAGCACCCACTGTCTTCGATCTGGATAGGAGCAGAGCATAGGACAGGCATGCTGATTCCATGATTTATTGAGGGAGTGATCTTGGGAGAAACCTATGAGGGAGGCAGGCAGAACAAGGAAGGGGAGAGAGTGGAGTTAGCATGTGGCCTCAGGTAAAGTCTAGCCCTGACCTGACCCACAGGGAGGATTTGAGAGCACTGATCATGCCCCAGCCAAGAGGCCTTTTATTCCTTGTGGCA
Organism: Homo sapiens; assembly: GCF_000001405.40. Taxonomy (NCBI): domain Eukaryota; kingdom Metazoa; phylum Chordata; class Mammalia; order Primates; family Hominidae; genus Homo; species Homo sapiens. The sequence goes on along the minus strand of NC_000010.11, from coordinate 79,319,673 downwards.
GTCAATTTTGGCTGTGCGCTGCCTGGCAGGGGTGCATGTGTGGGGATAGGGGGCAGGTAACCTGTCAGGCATGGAGGTTTCTGTGAGCTGAGGGAAATTCTCTGATAAAGGGGCACGTTCTGGGCTGTTGGCGGCCAACACCCGTAGCAGCGGCAGGATGGGTGGGCCAGTCGGTGAAGAAGATCCTGATGAAGCACCACAAGTACCTAGTTACCATAGGAACCTGCGGAGAAGACAAGGAAGGCACAGAGGGATGCCAGGAAAACTAAACAGATGAAAGAGGAAGTTGTCATGGATTCAAGTGTCTTCATCTCTTTTCTGTTGCTCTAACAGAATACTCGAGACTGAGTAATTTATAAAGAAAAGCAGTTTATTTAGCTCATGCTTCTGGAGGCTGGGAAGTTCAAGATTGGGTGGCTGCATCTGGTGAGGGCCTCATGATGCATTGTAGTATGGCAGAAGGCATCATGTGGCGAGGAGGGCAAGCGCGTGCCAAGTTGGCTTTTATAAGAGACCTACTCCCATGATAACCCATGAATCTGCCAACTCATTAATCCATCAATCCATTCATGAAGGCAGAGCCCTTATGACCCAAGGGCCTGCCTCTTAGTACTGTTACACCGGGGATTAAGTTTCACCATGAGTTGTGGTGGGGGGGACAAGCATTCAAACCATAGCACCAAGAGAAGAGAGCTTCAAGGAAGAAATGGCAACTGTCAAGTGCAGCTGTGAGGTCCAGTCTCAGAAAGCAGCGTGGATCAGCAACGAAGAGGCCATTGGTGAGCTTGCAGGAGAAGTGTCAGAGAACTGGTGGGGCATGAACCAGGCATATGAAGGGTGACAGAGAAAGAGAGTGGGCACTGGCAGTTTTGTGGCTGAGAAGCCTGCATGGGAAGGAGCAGAGACTGGCCATCAAGGGGTGGAGCCCAGACCAAGCTGAACCTTGCAATGCCAGAGCCTGGGCCACTAAACCCGGGGAGGCGGGAGGCAGAGGTATGGGGAGGGTTAACGGGCTGATAGAATGAGACTCCTTGGAGAAGAGAAAGGGGTGATGGTGTCAGGGGCTGGGGGAGGGGTAGCCCCAACTGGGGAAGGGACACCACATCCTCTGGGCCTGGGTGGAAAAAGATATGGCCAGGGTGGATGGAGATAGGTCTGTGGGTAGCAGCAGGGACAGTGGGGAGCTGGGTGAGGGTAGGGTAGCCTGCTTAGAGCGAGGTGGGCGTGGTTAGCAGGAGGCTGGAGCAGAGGAGAAGGGAAATGGGGGGCCATTAAACATTGAGTGCCCTTAGCATTCAGGGAGGCTGGAGACCCCAGTGTATCCTGACATCGACCTGTGGGGCTGAATGAATTTCCCCAATAGCATCCCATGGCCTTACATGAAGACAGTCAGTGGATTCAGGGTGGAGACTTTTTGCAGTGGGCTAGAGGAAGAAGAGACGTAAGATGATCCACAGTGTGTGGCCCCACATGCTGGGAGGCTGAACTCTGAACTGTCCCAAGCCAGGGCCCCCACTGGGCTTTTTAGGTGGATGTTTCTGGTCCAGGGGTTAGGCTCACAGAAGGAAGTCACCCGTCTGGGGAGGAGTTAGCTGAGATGGGGCCGGCCAGTCTCCATACAGCCTTGTGGGGCAGCCACAGGCCTGTATCCCAGGTTCAGAGTCTCCAGCTGAAATGCCAGGAAGGTTTGCTTATTATCATGAAGTTGGGGGAGCACACTGCCCTTCCTCCCTCCCTGCTCCCCTGCCCACTTCCTGCCTTTAAGTCAATGGCATTCAAACTTTTTGTTTTCAACCACAACCCACAAATAAGAATTAACATCATGACTCAGCAGACACACACACACACACACACACACACACACACACACACACACACGTTTCTTGATAGAATGCTACCCTTTACTTTGTAGGGCACACTCCTGATATTTTCTACTGTATTCTCATTTGTTTTATTAAAGTGCTGGTCCAGCCCCACCACACTGCTCTAAGGCACAGGGAGGGGGGCATGTCTCCTACGGGAAGTTCTCCCTCAAGCTAACTAATCACCCTCCTCTCGGAGGGGTGTCTGTTCAGAGAGAGTCAGCCTGTCCTGGTGATGCTGGCAGAAGGCAGTGCCTGCAGCTGAGCAGTGGCCGGTGGGTGTTCCATTATTTAAGGTAAATCTTTTCTCCTCCTCACCTTCCACCTCCCTCCAAAAGGAGAAACTCCAGCCACCTCGGAGAGGCCCCAGGAGCAGGGGGCTTCTAGGCACCCAGCCCCCTACAGGCAGCACCCTGCAGCCTCCCCCACACCGCCGGCTCCTGCACACACATGCCCCTCACTCTCCTGACACCCGGATACATCTGAGTGGAGATCTCTGGGGTGCCGGCCCGGCCCTTCTTCCCTCTGTGGACAGTCCCTGTGGAGGAAAGGCCATGACAGCCACATTTGCTTTCCCCCTAAGGTGAGGCTGCGTGGAGGGAGGGCAGGGACTGGCTGCGGGGCTGTGTCAGATGCATGTTCCTAAAACTTCAATCGGAGACACATCAAGTGTTGTCAGTTTGTGTTGGTGCCGAGGCTGGAAGGATGGTTAGAACCATGGCCTGGGCAGGGGCTATCGTGAGACAGTACCCCATGTAAAGCATGCTCACGGAGGAGGGAAAACCCAAGCTTCCCTAGGAGGGGAGGGGCAGGTGTACCGAGAGGTGGAGGCCAGGGATGCTGAGATGCCAGCAGGGAGCCATGGGTGCAGTGAATGCTCACTCTCCATTGAAGCCACACTCCTGTGTGCTCTGAACAGCACCCTCTGTGGCTTAATATGAATAGCTTCCTGCTACTTAAACCCAGCATAATCCACAAGGGACCATCAAAGATGGGACACTGTTGCACACTCTGAGTCACATGCCACAGGGGCCCCTAGCACCCTGCAGCCACCTGGCCCTATTCAGCCACCCCAACTCCCCCAACCATCCGGCCACACACTGCACTTGCCCCACCAGGGACTGGTTCCAGGGACCCCCATGGACAGGGGTTCTTCCAATTCAACACCCAAACCACCTGCCTTTCTTTTTTGTGTGTGCAGAGGGTAACAGGGCGGGGGGTGTGGTTTAAAACAAAAGCAAAAACACCCAAACCACTCCTTAACATCCACAAAATAGCTAATTCGCCAAACCTTTGTTTTTGTCAATTTATTTAGAAAAAAATTAACATGGGCAAATGAGATACCTCAGTGTTACAACAGAGTATAGAAATGTCTAGCAATAGTCAAATAATTTGATCTTTAAATACAAAATAACCACATGAACACCTAATATACAGGTTTCATCTGAATACATATTTATTAGATAAATATTAGAGGTTGTCACATCATCTAACTACATACAGCTTTGCAAGACTAGAAATCACAATTAGTTTTTTGACCAGTTTAAAGTATGAAATGATTGCATTGTACATACGATGTACAAAGACGATGATGGTTTCTGTGGGAGTTACTTCAGGCTGCACTGGTGGGTGTGTTTATGTGTGTACGTGTGAATCACCTGTGATCATGATATCAAAAATTATACAAAGTATGAATTTGGTTACAATTTTCTTCTGAAATCCCCGTTTCTTTTCATTATTTCCATAGCACCCTAAAAATACACAGGTGGCAGGACTAGTACACTGAAGCTAAATAGTACATGTAGGTAAAATAAAAACAGAACAAAAACCCCTTTCCACTCAGGGTCAGAGTATATTACATGAGCGAGAGAGACAGACGTGGAGAACTCACAAATGCTATAACCAACAGGATCTAGTTTTTCCACGTGATGGAGTTCCAAGCTTTTTTTTTTGTTTTGTTTTGTTTCGCAAAATAAAAACAATACACATTCCAAGAGAAATGAATGCATCTGTTGACACGTCTCTATTTCTCATTTACATATGTACACACGTCCCTTGAGTCGCTGCTGTTGACACGGCCCTGTGTGGACGGGTCAGGCCCGAGGCCCGTCGGGAGCAGACCTGTAGCTCTCTGGGGGATCAGGGCTTCCATTAGGGAGAAAGTATTAGCAGTTTCTTAAAAAATAAAATGGCTACACGGAACATGATACATGGATAAAGCTTCAAACCAAGAAGATGGGGGTGATTGCCTGTACTTGGCCCTTCCCGCCTGCCTGCTGGCTCCCTGTCCATCTTGCGGAGTGGCGGCAGAAACATGCCTGTGGGCCGGGTGGATGCTTGGCATGGAAAAGTGGCTTGCAGAGGCCTCGTTTTTGCTGAGGTTACTTATGGCTCCAAGTAGTCGTCCGAAAGGATCAGGGAAGGATCTCTCCAGAGTTCAGGACCATCTCTGTTTATGGGCGTTGTCTACCTGCACCTGTCACAACCTGGGGCTTGCTCCCGCCCCGGATGCCTCTGCACCTCCCTCACACCCTGGCCTGGCTCCCAGAGCACTCCGGAAGAGCTTGTCTCCAGACTGCAGGCTGTAGGCACCACGCACGGTTCAGAGCCAGCCGGAAGGGAAGCTCTGGGCCGAGCTTGCTGGTGGAGGCTTGCTGGAGAGGGGACCCAGGAAACCCGCCTCAGGTGCTGAGCCCAGAGATGGTTGCAGGAGGTGCCCGGGGCCTGGGCTGCAGGGAGCATCTCGACTCTCCGCACTGGAAAGCCGTGGATCCACCTGTGAGCAGAGTGTGGACACACCCTGATAAGAACCAGAATGAATCCCAGGCCTTTCTGGGGCAAAGTATCAACGCAAGAAGCAAGAACTCCTAAGGAAGGCATCTGTAAGTCTGTCTGGAGCTTAATTCCCAGATGGTCTGACACAGGGCGTGGCCACTTGCCAGGCCACAGACACTGGGCAAGGGTGGCCACATGCTACCTGGCGTTGGCTTGTCCCTGCCAGCTGACTGAGGGATGGCTCTAAATAGCGGGCTGCCCGGTCTTCCAACTCCCAGCACAGCCGCCCATTCTGTTCACCCCTTCAACTGTACAAATAGCCCTGGTTGCTTTTTTTGTTTTTGTTTAAAAAAAAAGAAGACTCGGTCTTTGTCATTGAGTCCAGGTATTTTAAAAACACCAGCAAAGGCTATAACCAGGTCATGAAAATGTTGAATATTATCAAAGACGATACTAAAATATTCACAAAGATATTTACAAAAGCGATTCTTAAAATAATTGATTTGCATACTGAACAACACGCTATTTGAAAAAACCTCGACAACGGGACAAAGGAAGAAAAGGGGCCGGGGCAATGGCAGCTTTCCTACAGAAAACCTTGTGCCGTCTGGGACAGTGACTGGAAGTCAACAGCTGGGGCCACCTTTCCGGTAAAACCCACAGAGGAGAGCTGGGGACCACCCACAGCGGACGGGAGAGCAGGAAAGGGCCCCAGGCAGCAGCCGGGAAGGGCGCAAAGAATTTACAGATGGGACCCCAGTGACGGGACAACCTGGCATCACCCTAGGCCATGTGGCTCACGGGGCACAGACCAGCCTGAAACAAAGTGAACACAGGACAGGCTCCCCAGGAGGCCCTGGAGAGTGGTAAGCCAGATGGAGCAAAGCGGTGGAGGGAAGGCCAGAGGCTGCTTTTGCTTGAGTGAGCAGGAGTTTGGGTGAGATTGTGATGGTGGAGGAGTGCAGGCAGGGTAGGCTGGCAGCCAAGGGCAGTGTCTGGGGCAGGCCCAGAAACACGCCCCCCTCCCCCCCATGCCTGCAGGTACATACTGGTGCACATGTCCATGGCCTGGGCTGCAGCCGGGGGCAGCTTGGAGCACAGGGACAGAGGGAGGGGCTGGACAGACACCATTGCCCTGGGCTCTGGTTTCTGCACCTCCCCGGCCTTTCCACGCACTGCCCTTGCCATCTGATTGGACAAAGAGAACTAGGACAGAGGGAAGTGGGTGTCCCACGGAAGTCTTGGAGAGGTGGCAGGAGAGGGACTAGGAGAAAAACAGAACAGACGGAGAGAAATGGTTTGCTTGCTGTCCAAGAGCAACGTTCCTTTTCTCCAGGTGACTTCATAGCTTTAAATTGTTGCTGTTTAAAAAGAGAGTGGCTTGGAGCAAAGTTAGAAGTTGCCGCTCCTGTTTGCTTCTGACAGGTTATATGCCCGCGCCCCCCAACCAAGGGCACAATCACTTTGGTTGGGTGTACACCTGCTCTCTCTGTTCCCCAAGCCTGGGCCCTGTCTGAGCTTGGAGGTGGAGCCTCAGGGACGTCCTGGCTCAGAAGATGTCCTGGCCCTCTTCCCCACCAGTCCCCAAGCAGGAATGGCAGACCCCCTCTCAAACACAGACTCTTGTCCTTTTTCTCTGCTTTCTGAGTGTGTTTATGGGGTATCTTGGCTTATAGGTCAGGGGTCAAACCGATGACCCCTGGCCCCCGAGAGACGTTGTCTTTCCCAGAGGTTTGTGCTTTTCTGTGGTGGGTGGTGGTGGGTGGGCTGGTCTCACTGCCACCAACTGCCAGTGCTCCTCCAAGGCTCGGGGCCCATGCTGGGGCCCGGGGGCCTTCTCAGGCTCCACAGTCACTGGAGGGAGGCTCTGGACCAGGAAGCAGGGAGGCAGGGTTACAGTCTAGAAGATGGAAGAACCTTGGGGACACTGGAAGGTCATCTGGAATCGGCACACGCGGAGGGACCGGGAAGCCGCATCAGCGTGTGCCCTCTTACCGGGCTGGTTCCTCTCGGGAGGGTGGTCTTCAGGCCTGCGCTGGGCATGGGCCCAAGCCAAGGGTGTGGAGGTGGGACGTGGGCTCCAGACCCACACAGCCTTCCTGGTGCACTGGTGCACCCTCCCTACCCCTCTGTTCTGAGAGGGCTGCAGCGGGGGAGGGCTCCCCGCCCCACAGCCCGTGGCTCTGGTGCGGGGCGGTCTGAGGGCACAGGCTCCCAGGTGGAAAAGTGTGTTGGGTAGGTGGGGTAGGATGCAGAGTGTGGAGGGATGGCCCCGACCGGGTGGCCCTCAGTTGTTCTCAAATAGAGACAGGAGGTCATCGTTACTATTGCTCGGCAGGTCGGGGGGGTCCAGATAAGACAGGAGCTCGTCAGGATTTGTGAGTTCGGGAAGGAGCTGGAAAAGAAGGAGTAATGAAGTTCAGATGAGGTGTGCCTGAGAGGCAGGCCCCGGGTGAGGAATGCAGGGGCGCCCTGGCCCGTCCCCCTCCACCTGCCTCTCAGGACCCTAGCCAAAAAAAGGGGTAGAGAACAGCCTTGGGCTTGGGCCTGCCAGGTATCCCCACACATACCCCGGCCACTGCACCGAGTGTGGGGCACCCCCATGCTCATTTCAAGCCTCAGGATTGGGACCCGCAGCCCACCAGCTGAGGCCTGAGCAGGGCTGACCCTTTTCAGGCATGGACTTCAGCCCTAACCTGGGAAGGCCCCATGGCAGGTCACTTGGGCCTCCCAGCTGAAATCACATGCTTCACGTGTAAGCACAAGGAGGTGGGCTGGTGGGAAGGCGGGAAGGCGAGTGGTTCCTGCACCGCCCCCAACCCCCCAACATCCCTCTTCTCAAGGGCTCGCCACTCCTTGGTGAGCCTGTGGCTGGCTGGCAGCCATCCTTCCCTGTGGCCCCGGAGGGGATGCAGACTGTCTCTACCCTCTACTGAGATATCCTTGGAGTCTGTCACATGGGGAGCCTCATGCATCTAAAAGCAGCCCCACTGGCCTGGTTTGAGGGGGAACACTGGGCAAGGACCTGAGATGGCTGCACAGTGAGTGAGTCCTAGCTAGCACAGAGCTCCTCTGATGCTGCAGGGCAGAGGCTGACAGAGCAGGGCTGGGGGTGAAGAACAGGAGGGGCCGAGGACAAGCCTCCTCCCGGAGTCTGGCACCAGCTCTGTGTAGGCATGGGCGGGGCCGGTGCTCAGTCCCATCCCGCCAGCCCCATCCAGCAGCCCAGCCCCATCATCCAGGGTGACCCCCACCATCTTCCAGACCTCAGGGTAGGAGCCCTGGCACCTCTGCTGCCCATGATGGCCTGCTGCCCCTGGCTGTGACCCAAGGCTGCCCCCTCTGCCCCCACCTTCTGTCACCCACATGGGGGCCTCTTGGAGTGAGCGATGGAGCAAGCAGAAGCAGGGCATGGACAACACGCGGACAAGAAAACTGGAGACAGACACACACCAGCGAGGCAGACAGACGGCCTCTCCCTCCAGCCCTCCCTGCCCGGGCCAGAGAGGCAGACACAGAAACCGCAAGCTCACCATCGGGGGAGGGCAGGGACCCTCCTGTGCTGCGCAAGGGACCCCGCAGGGCTTGGGTCAGAAGGTGGGTCAGGGCTGGGGTTCAGGGCTATGGCCAAAGGGACTGGGGGGACAGGAGCCAGCAGGGTGGGGACCCTCAGTGGTGACACTTCCCCATCATGGGGCTTCCTGGTCTGGAGCCAGGTCTGGGTGAAGCCCTCCCACCGCCCACCCACCTCCTCCCTTCGGGGCCTCGAGCCCTCACACCCACCCCTTCTCTCGGGCAGGTCCCGGCGCCAGGCCTAGCCCCAGGCCAAGGCGAGTGGCGACCCCAACTTACATCCAGCGAAGGCTCCGGCATGTCGGACGCTCCCTGCGCTCCGGCCTGACCCTCTAAGGCTGAGGAGGGGTTAAAGGTCAGGTCGCTGTGTGGATGGCTGCTGGGAGCGGCCTGTGGCGGCTGCCGGGGAGGCTGGGAAGGAGGAGGAGGAGGAGCCCCACTGTGATGTAATGGAGGCCCTGACTGGCTGCTGGGGTGTGGTACGTGCAAACCTTGTTGTATGGAGGGGTGGGGCTGGTCAGAGCTGCCAGCGTGTGGCATCTGTGGAGGAGGAGAGAGCGGGAGAGAAGAGAGGTGAGGTGAGGAGGCACGGCGATGATGCCTGGAGAAAATGAAACCCAACACAACCAGGGAAGTCACAACCCCCGAAACGTGGCCACCCGGTACGAGGCTGAACGTTGTTTCTGGGCAGAGAAACAAAGAAAAATTTCTCCCCCAAAACCGCCCATCAGGGAGGCTGCAGGGGGACGGCGGGGACCTCTCGGGCCACGTGGAGCCCCAGGAGGTGGGGAGGGCTTCGACACAAGCACAGACACGGGGAGCTGGGCCTGGGCTCCCCCAGGCCCCTCCACCTCCCCGCCCAGACAACGAACAACAGCGAGGGCAGGATGGAGAAGCAGAATGGGCATGTTCCGGGGAGCGGGAGGCAGGAGGGCGGCTGCCTCAGCGTGGTGCAGATCCCAAGCTGGGCGGCAGAGAGCAGACACAGACAGACAGCATTGGGCGGGCGTGCGGCTCAGGACTGGGTCTGCACCTCCCAAGTGGGCCCTGGGCAGGGGTGATGCTGGGTACGAAGGCGCCTTCTGCCAGTCCGAAGTGTGGAGCAGCTGGGGCCTTGGCACAAGCCCTGCAGCGCGGGTGGAATTTGGCTGTCAGAGGAGCAGGGCTGGGTGGGCACCTGGCCAGCCAGGGGCATCTTCACACCCTGCCAGACCCTTTTCCTAGACATCCCACTTGGTCGGCACCAGCCCTCAAAAACACAGGGTTGTGAGGGAGGCAGGCACCTCTGGGACTCCAAGGACAAGGAGACTGAGTGACGGTTCACCAATGGTGGGTGTCTTGCTGAGGGTGAGGCTGGCGGTGCCTCTCTAACAGATAACTAGAGGACTCGCACCCTCCTGTGGGCACGTGCACTGAAAACTGGGCTGTCTGTGGGTGGGTGGGTGAGATGTGAACATTCCCCTGCTAGCCTGTTTGCTGTCCCAAGCAGATCCTCCTTCAAAGTGAAAGGCCGGGGAATCCTCGCAGACCAAGCCCTGATCCCACTGCAAGCATCCCTGACAGCCCCCAGCCCCACTTTCGCTCTGCCAGTGAGAGGGGCTCACGGATGCTCCAGGTGCTCCACTGGAACAGCAGCCTGGCACATGCTTCCTTGGTCTTTTCATCCCCTCACCCTGCCCCATCCTGGGGCAGCCACACAGAACACACTGACATGTTCTTCCTGTGTGCATTTAGAATTTGCAGCCACACCATCCTCGGTCTTTGCCCATCCCCAACTTCCTTCCTCTTCCTGTTTCTCCTAAAACTGTTTCCCAGGCCTTGCTATGGGTCGGGCTCTGCCCACGGTCCAGGTGTCCCCTTCTCAGGGTGTAGGGCCCCAACCCCATGCGGCCTTAGGGAGCACAGTGCCCTTCCAGTCCAAGCCCCAAGAATGAGACGACCTCGCAACGGTGCTGCTGGAGACCTTGGGAGACCCGTTTATGAGACACATACAAGAGGCTGGAGGAATGGGCCACCACCCATGGTCAGTGAGAGGCCAGCTTAGGGCTCCCACTCCTGTAGATGCCCTCAGTGCCCACCCTGGGAGAGCAGGGAGGGGCTCCACACTCCAGCTGTGCAGCCCAGCTCAAGACAGACAGTCCCTGGATCTTCAGAGGCAGCTGTGCCCCTCAGCTTCGTATCTGGCTGGAATGTCTCCGGCATGGAGGGGCAGGTGCTGTTGGAGCACTGCTGACACACCTGTCAACCCGCCACCAAGTATGGGCAGTCTGTGGGGGCAGCAGCATCTGGATAGAGCGCTCTGGCCAGTCTCTGCGGGCATGGCAGTGCCTCCCAGCCTTGGGCTCAGCTGGGGGTGTGGCTGCCTCCACCTGGGCAGGTGTGGTAGAAGTTTACCTGTGACTGCCCTGCCCCACCGGCCTGGCACATCCGCACTTCCAGGTCTGCTTGCCCTCTAGTGAGAGCTCAGAAATGGAGGACAGGACCATCTAGAGAGCATCTTAAGGGGCTCTGAGGTCAACTCACAGGCTCAGATCAAGCCACACAGAATGCAGGCAGCGGGGCTCACAGAAGGCAGGAGAAAGCTTGATTGTCAAGGGGAAATAGACGGCATCAGCACTCCATATTCCAGTGTTAGGAACTGTGAGGGCGCAGGATGTGTGTGTGTCGGGGGGTGTGATTTTGGTGTCTTCTGGGTGTGGGATGCCCTCAGGGCCCAGGAAGGGGCATCAGGAAAGAAGCCCCCAGAAATCACAAGCCCCATGGGGCAGAGAGTAACTTTGAAAAACTTGGCCAAAGCTCCACAAAGCATCTATTTCCGACTTGGACTCCTGGGGTCCTGAGGGAAAGTTGCTGCTACCTCACCTAGAGTCCTGAGGCAATTCCATGTCAGGTGTGTGGAAGGCAGTATAATCCAGAGGCTCCTTCCTGTGCAGGCCACCCAAGCCCACTGCCAGACTCTGGCAGGACCCCGGGCCCTCTCCCTGGCTGGTGTGGCCCAGGACCCCCAGCCACGTGCTCAGTGATGGCCCCTCCTCCCCAAGATGAGAGCCCAGAATGACTGAGACCTCAGACACACCACTTCAGCCTCCGGAGGCTTCAGTTTCTCCAAACTCCAACTGTTCTTCCTGCACCCACGCACTGCCAGGAGTTTTACTCCATTAGCCCAAGGCCTGTCTGTCTTGCTTACACCTGTCACATGGCCTGCGCAGAGCACAGCTCAAAAAACGCTTGTTAAAATGAGTGGAACCACGTGGCACTCACTGGATGAGGACTCCAGGGGACAGGAGGGCCTCCTGCCACTGCCACTGGGGCCACAGGAAGGGAGGGCCTGTGGACAACACAGGACACCTTACCCCACCAGGGACGTCCTCAGCCACACAGGGCATATGTCGATAAGTGTGAAACAGAATGAGAAGTGAATGCTCTTCAGATAATCAGACTTCCTAGCATTTCTTTTGTTGGAGGTGGTAATACCCTGAATTCAGATCCTTGGAGAATAAGTGCCTGGGTTTGGGACAAAAGTTGAGGTGGCTGGAACCGTGTTAGGTGAGTGTAAGATTGTGCAAGTGGGAGAGGGAGAGGGCTGATGGCGTGTGCTGGGTAGTGGCGAGTGCATGCACGTGTGTGTGTATGCATGGGGTGGTGAGGGTTTGGGGAAGAGCCTGAAGCTTCCCCCATCTCCAGAGAATCCGAAATCCTAGGTAAAACAGCCAAGTCTAAGGACACTGACAGGGCACGACGTAGCCTCAGTTAGACCCCTCCTATTCCATTCTGAGCCCACACACCCAATTCTTCATCCTCTGCCTTGCCTGGGAGGGAACAGGGTATCCAGATCCCAAGGCATCAACCCCAAAGGCTGGGGAATGGAATGGGGTGAGGAGGAGGTACTCACAGTTTCCTGCATGGGGTGGCTGAGGGGTTTCTCGAGGGCGGCCATGTTGTTGGGCATGTCCGGGGGGTGGGAGAGCTGGGGGGGCCCGTGCATGAAGTCATTCATGGATGTCCCTCCAGGGTTCCCGTGGGGGAAGTCAAAGTTGCCATGGCCTTGGTAGTTGTTGCCTAGGAAGGGATGAGATGGGGAGGGGAGGGGGTCACCCAGAGGGATAGTGGCCACCCCCAGGGAACAGAGAGTGTGTAAAAATACAAGCCAAGTCCTTTTCCTCTTGCGAGGCTGTAGTAGGTCACAGCAGCCCGAGGCTTCCGGGCTGTAGGATAGAGCAGCCACTCAGCCCTGTCCCGTGGTCTGTGGTACCCTAGGGGATGTGCTGCCCCTACTGCTATGGAGGAGGGGGCAGAGTGGGACAAAGGGGGCGGGCCAGGCTCCTGTGGGGAGTGGGGGACATGGCCTGAGCCTAGAGCAGACCTGCTGAGCTACTCCCCAATGTGGGCACTTTTCATACCCAGCAAGACCCAGGCCCAGAGTGGGTGCATGTTCTGCCAAGCCCACAAAGAAAGCTGCAGCAGACTCAGGATGACACCCGCAGAAGCCAGCTGTTCCGCCTCCCTGGTCACTGTGCCCTCCACCATGTGGCGATGGCAAGGGTCAGAGGATCAGCAGACTGGGAGGCTTGGCCCTTGGCACACTGTGGGAGTTCGGCTAGGTGGCCTAACCTCACTGGGCCTCTCATGGGGACCTAAGATCACGGATCCCAGGGGGAGCTGCCACCCAGTGGGGGTACTTTCCAGGAATCAGTGGCAGTAGGAGTAAAACTTGGTCTGGGCAGCCGGGAGCGTAAGGGCCAGTGGGTGACCTTGGTGGCCAAAGGCTGAGGCTCTAGGAACCTGGACTCTGTCCCTAGGAGGGCAGGAAAGTTGCAGGGGAAATGTAGATATCACAGAAAAAATACAGGAGGGCAAGGGGTAAGGCCAAGAACTCGGGTGGGTGTGGGAGGGAAGAGGCAGCAGTCTATCTCCCACCAGGGCAGGCTCTGAAGCCCCTGGGCTAGGCCCATGTACCCTCAAGTCTAGCAAACTGGGAATTGTTTTTTGGGGGATGTGTTACTTCTCTCTCTTCAACCACACCCCCGACCCCTGCCACCATCAGCACAGAAATTCTGTGCCTCTGCAGGGACTTGGGGCTGCCCTCCTTCTCCCTTCCTCCCTGCCTGGCATCACCCACCTTGGCTGCTGTAGTCGTTGGAGTTGGTGCCCCCTGGGGGAGGCGGGAGGGGATAGGGGGACGGGCCGGGGCCCAGGGCTGCGATCATCTCCATGACATTGGGCATGATCATCTGGCTGGGACTCATGGTCTTGAACCGCTTGGAGGGGATGCCATCAGGGTCGTCCTTGATGTGTAAGTCCGACTTGATGGGCACCGGCCGCCAGCTGCACGTGGGATCGATGGTGACCTCTTCAAACTCGGAGCTGGGGGAGGAAGGGTGGCAGAGCTGAGGCTCCGGGGTGCCTGGCTTTGGGCATAAAAGCACCTCCAGCTCCGACAGACACCCAGGTGACCTTGTTGAGGCCCCTGCTCCCACTCTCACCACACTGTGGACGAGGCGGAAGCCTGGCAGGGATTTCTCTATATATCTTTGACATATGGGGAGACTGAGGCTAGAAAAGCAAGTGGCTGGGCACAGGGCAGCTGGCCTCAAGGGCTCCCTCGTGGGGAGCAGCAGGTGGAGGGTCGGGGCGGGGCACTGTCAGCCTCCTGCTGTGGCTGGCTTTCATGCTTTCTGGGAAGTTCATTTGTCCCCAGATCCAGAGGCCCCCGAGGGTAAGGGACAGAGAGGTGGGGGATGTGGGTCACGGTCTGCTGGCCTGGGAGGGGAGGGCTGTGTCAGGGCTATCCACCTGCTCACCTTGCTCTAATCCAGGCCTCGTCCCCTCCCACCCCCTGCCCCTCGCTAGGGCCCCACTTACTGTTGGATGGCATTCAGGATTCCCCACATGTACTGATCCACCTCCAGGCCCTCCAGCAGAGCGGTTTTACTGGAAAAGGAGATGGGGAGCTTGGCCTCTGCTCCAGGACCCAAGGAGGTAGGGGCAAAGCCCATCCACCTCAGTGTCAGTGGGGTCCCACCCCTGCTGCTGGTTACTACTGGAGGCACAAGAGAGGGGGACTCTGACCGCGTGATACCAAGGGACCACCTGGAGCCCCCATAACCTGAGCCCCTCTGCCATGTTTGGGTTCTGGTTTGCATTTAGGGCAGGTGGAGGTGGGAGGTAGCTGGCCCCTCCCGTCTGTGGTTGGGGGATGGGGGAAGCCCCCACCGGGGTGGGCATCACTCACTTGCACACAGGACACCTCCAGGTCCCTCTCTCGCAATTCAGCTGCAGGTATGACTCCAGATCAAAGCACTGCAGACAGACAGACAGACACAGGTGAGACCAGGACTGTCAGAAACTGCCTAGATGTGCCTCAGGGACCCTTGGAATAACTTCCCCACCAGAGAGAAAGATAGGCTGTGGGAGAAACCCCGGGCTGGGGCTGGGTGGAATGAAAGCAATGCTACCTTTCTGCCACGCAGAGTCCTTATGCCTCCACCCCAGCATCCCTCACACCACCTCCCATGCCCCAAATGACCCTGTGCCTACATCCTCTGAGAAGCCTTCCTGGTTCCCACCCCAGCTGACTCACTGTTTTTTGCCCTGTAATAGCCCCTTTCAACCAGGCCAGGGGTAGCCCCTTCAGCCCAGCCCAGGCACCGAAGACAAGTCTGATCAAGTTCATCCATCTGTATCAGATAGATAAAGTGACCAGACCATCCTCTTGCCCACAGCATTCTTTGGGAGGGAGGAGGGGAAGCTCCTGTCCCACTGCACCCTCAGGACCAGCTGCAGGTGACAGCCCTGGGCCCCTTCTGCATGCCCACCACACCCAGGTTCCAGAAGACGGCTCCTTCTTCTTCCAGGCCGGGCTGCCCATGTTTACTCATTGCTCTGTCACTGCCTGCTCAGACTGGGGCTGTCACTCACGCCAGGGCTACTTCCTGAACACTGACTTGATGCAAGGCCCTGGACAGAGGCATGAACTGGACAGTGGTGTCCCTGCTCTTGGGCCCCCAATCAGCCCTGACATGTGTGTGGGACTTCCAGCTGGCATCTGCCATCTGCCAGGGCAGGGGCTGTCCGAACCCATTTCTGTAGCCCCTTTGGCCTTAAGCACACAGAAAAGATGCTCAAAGATAAATGATGGCGGAAATTAATGAGTGACGCCAGCTGCTGATCTCCATGACGTCCTTCAGGACAGTGTTAGGACAGGCTCTGTTGCCCCTCTGCCTACCCCTCACCATCCCAGCCAGAGTCTAGGTGGCTTGCCAGAGCTGTGCTTTCTGGGGCCGCTCACCTGCACATGCTTGCAATCGTGTCCTCGAGCAGGCAGCTGGATGCGCCGGAATGTGATGGGGCACTTCAGAGACACCTTGATGGCCGTCTGCTCCACCCCATCCTCCCCGTTGAGGGTCGTGTTGCCCGAGGAGGCAGCCACGCTGCTGAAATTCCGCTTGACTGCGGGGCAGGAGGCACAGACAGGTGAGGATGGCAAGACAGTCCTGCAGAGGTAGGGGGTCTGCACGTGCTCCCCACTTCCTCGTGCAGCTGGGGCATGTCCTGGTTCTCCTCCCAGCCCACACCAAACGCTGAGAGGGCAGTGTGTGGCACTGTGTGGCAGTCACAGGGCCGGGTGCCCGGGCTGCTGTCTCCATGTGGGACACGTGTGGTGTGTGTGTGCCAGACGAGGTGGCTGTGGCAGTTCCCCTGTCTCTGCAGAGCAGGCCCTGCCTTCGCGAGGAAGGGGCATGTCTGCAAAGCTCATGGAAAGTCATTATGGCACTTCTCTGATTTACTGGGTCAGTGAAAAGCCCCCTCAGGCACTCCTGCACTTCACTCTGCACATGTGGAAATGGAAACGGACAGCTGCCTGCTGGAATCCCAGGACTCAGGGCAGCAATGTGAAGAGTGGCCCTGTACCTCTTGCACAGGGCCCGAGTCCACACCCGGAGTCTCCTTCAAAGGGGACTCCAAGCCAAGTCCCTCCATCCCAATTTTTTTTTTTTTTTTTTTTTTTTGTGGCAGTGTCTGGCTGTGTTGCCCAGGCTGGAGTGTGGTGGCTTGATCATGGCTCACTGCAGCCTCGACCTCCCCAGCTCAAACAAATTCTCCCACCTCAGCCTTCTGAGCAGCTGGGACCACAGGCACAAACCACCACACCTGGCTAATTTTTTATTTTTCTGTAGAGACAGGCTCTCACTATGCGGCCAGGCTAGTCTTGAATTCCTGGACTCCCGCCTCGGCCTCCCAAAGTGCTAGAATTACAGGCATGAGCCACTGTGCCCAGTCCTCTCCTGAGTTTAAGCATAAGCTGGCCAGGTGTGGTGGCTCGCGCCTGTAATCCCAGCACTTTGGGAGGCCGAGGTGGGCGGATCGTGAGGTCAGGAGATTGTGACCATCCTGGCTAACACGGTGAAACCCCGTCTCTACTAAAACACAAAAAATTAGCCAGGTGCGGTGGTGGGCGCCTGTAGTCCCAGCTACTCGGGAGGCTGAGGCAGGAGAATGGCGTGAACCTAGGAGGCGGAGCTTGCAGTGAGCGGAGATAGCACCACTGCACTCCAGCCTGGACGACAGAGCAAGACTCCGTCTCAAAAAAAAAAAAAAAAAACTTAGCTGGGCGTGGTGGCATGCACCTATAGTCCCAACTCCTTGGGAGGCTGAGGCAGGAGAATGGCGTGAACCCATGAGGCGGAGCCTGCAGTGAGCCGAGATCATGCCACTGCACTCCAGCCTGGGTAACAGAGCGACATTCTCTCTCTCTCTCAAAAAAAAAAAAAAAAAAAAAAAAGCATGAGCTGTTGAAGTAGGGAGGCCAATCTGGAATCCACCCTCCATGCCTTCTGCCTGATGAAGATCCCCTCTTCTCTAAATCCTCCCATCTTTTAAAGGCCTGGCCCAGGTCATCACCTCCTCCAGGAAGCCTGCTTCCTGACATTTTGTTTTAATCTGCCTCATGTCCTGTGCTGCTATTGCAGGTATGCCTGTTCTGGCTCCCAAGCTGGACTGCCAGCTCTTCCACACAGGGCAGGTCCCAGAACTCCCACCAGCTCTTATGGGACCTAGCTTCTCTGACCACGACAACAGCCCCAGGAGGAGGGCATGAGCCTCAGGACAGGGCGCGCTCAGGGACACTCCAGGCCCGGTGGTGACATGCACGGAGGCAAAGGTCAGTTCCAGGTGAATGGTGACTGCTTCTCAGTCCCAAACTCAGGCGGGGATGGAGTCTGGCCCTCACCCCCGTCCCCACCCTGACTCACTTTTCGTGATACAGTGCTCTGCGGGCAGGAGGCGCTTCTTGAGGAGTCCTTGCAGCACAGAGCGGACGGAGGGCCGGTGTACCAGCTGCAGCACGAAGAGGTGGGACTGCGGGGAGAGAGGAGACACTCAGTTCCTGTGCACTGTCCCCACACCCCGCCCTGCCTGCAGCCTCAGCAGCCCTAGACTGCTCCCAGGATCCCACAGCCGGCCCAGGAGGCTCCCCCAGGGTGTCTCCTGGGACTTGCGAGCCTGAGCACTACTCTGGAAAGGCTGCCTCTGCTGCAGATCGACAAGGTGGACTTTGACACTGAAATACTCCCTGGATAAGGTTATAGGACACAAGGCTTTAAGCCTGGGTCCCACTTTGCTTCCTAACCTCCCCTACCACTGCCTCCCCATCATGTGTCCTTAGCCCTTCCTGCCAGGGTGCTCATCCCTCCCTTCACTCCTCCAGGAAGCCTTCCAGAACTGCACATCCCAAACGTCCACCCATCAGCCGCCTCACTCTGACAGTTGTGCAGCCTCACACAGCACATCACATTCCCCAGCCAGAATGGGATGTGCTGCCCAGGTCTGTGACCCCTATCTCTGTGTAGCCTCCGTGCCCCTAAGCTCACAAGGGTGGATCAGAGTGTTTCCTTCTCCATGCCTCCACAGAGAGGCCAGTGGAGTGGGGCAGGCAATTTACTTCCACTGGGGCCTGAGCAAGCCCTGTGTGTTGGGCCCTGATCTTCAGGGGACATGAGGGTGGCTGAGAGCTGGTCCTAGGTAACAAGTCACGGGTTGGAAGGACCCCCATACGTGACTCTAAGACAAGGGGGTTGGGAAAGAAGGGAACGCGTTAACTCCAGGTTTGGGGGCGTTGGGTCTGGGGGAAAAGGTGCTGACAATGACAACTGCTGGTGAATGAGGCAAGCAGGACATGGCTTTGAGGAACACAGAACTGCACCAATGAATGAAGGGTAGGGAGGAGGGGCCAGGAGGGGTGAATCGGAAGCATGTGTGGAGAACAGACGGAGGCTGAGTGTCCAGGGGAAGAGGCCACGTCTGAAGCCAGGGCACAGTGGCTTTGAAGGCCCAACGGTTTGAAGGTTATTGCACAGGCCCTGGGCACAGGTAAGGGGACGCTGTATCTTTGGCGGCTGTGGGCACGGGGGTGGTGACGCAGGGACAAGGCTGAGGACCAGAGTGGGGCAGGGTATTCCGCACTCTCATGCCGTGAAACAGGGCCTGCCTGTGCCAACGCTGCCCCTGGCCCACCACACTCACGCAGCAGCAGGCCGTGACGGTGATCTGGATGGTGTTGCGGCCCGGCTGGCACACGTGCTTCAGGTGCAGGGGCTTGTGGGAGGTCTTGTTGTCGCCGCGCTCAATGGTGAGGGGCGTGGCGTTCACGCTGACCTGCACCGAGGCGGGCCAGTTGGTGTTCATCTGCCGGTCCTCGTGGTGGTAGCACTTGAACTGCAGCTCCAGGTCAGACCTAGGTGGGGAACGAGGGTGCTCAGGGCAGCTCTGCCAGGGGGCTGTCCATGGCCTCCGTGACCCCGAGCCAGGTCACACACCTCTAAACACACCACAACCTCCGAGATCCTCAGGACCCCATCCCTGACCCCAATGATTCCCCCAGCCTGAGTTCTCCTCTCCCATTCTGGATACTCCCTCTACACCCAAACTGCCCCCAAGACCCCCGCACACCAATCATTCCCATCACACCCCACAGCTCTAGCTCCCATCTCCCTGGAATGTCCTCCCTGTAGGGGTCAACTCCTGGATCCCCAGGACAGAGACAGAGGGGCAAATGAACAGGCACTCATTTGACAAGACCTGCTGTGAGGCCAGCCAACCCCATCTCTAGACCTGCTGGGAGCTGTCCTCCCAGGCCACGGCCATTTCTGGTTCTGAGCACTCCCCAAGGAGGCCCCCCAAGGACGCAGCACTGAGGAGTGTCAGGAACCAGCAGTGACCATATATGTGTGACAAGCAAGCCAGGAAGAGGAGGCCTCCCAGGCCAGGACACTCCCAGCTAAGGAGCGTGGGTGAGCAGGGTGCAGGCAGGCAGCACAGTGGTTTGTCCCGTGCCAGGGACCTCTGTCCTCCTGCCTGAGCGTTGCAGCTCCTGTGTTCTGAACGCCCACACCAGCTATCTGTGGCCACCTCACCCAGCCTGCTCAGCATGGTCAAGAAAACAGCAGGGGTGTGTGTGCATGTGCCAGGCACAGACCCAGCTCTTGCGCTGGAGATGCTCACTGGGCAGTCAAGGGGGTCTGAGTCACAAGCACAGTGAGACTGTGAGTCTTGACTGAGGATGAAGGACTGAAGGGTGGACACCCCCAGGGTTGGTTCTGGCATCCTGGAGACCTGGGCCCAAGTCTCAGCTCCGCCCCTGGCTAGCTGTGAGAACTCACACAAGCCAATTCACTTCTCTAGCCTCAGCTTCCTCCTCTGTCAAAAGGGAAAGTGTTGCCCATTTCCAAGATCAAAGTGGGTCACACGTGGAAGGTGCTGAGCATGGGCCTGGCTCAGCAGGGAACCTCCGGACCTTGTGTTCCAGCACGTGCCTAAGTGTCTGAGCAGCAGCCCTGCCCAATGGTCAGCCCCCTGCAATAGATGGGGCCTGCCTGACCCCGGCCTGGCCCTTGCACCAGCCTCATCTCTGCATTCCTGGCTCTGGCCACATGAGTCACACTCGAATTCTTGACTGCGTTCCCTCTTGTCAGCTCACGGTCTCAGATGGGATACACAGCTTCCCAGCCTAGGTCTGAGCCAGCCACCTTTTCCTCTGGGGTGAGTGACAGCTGCTCCCTGCCCTTGGGCCACGACACCTTGACTGCTCATCTACCTGTGCACCTGCAGACTTCCCATGACAACCGCAGGACAGGGCCCAGTCAATGATGCTGAACACGTGAAGGTGTCAGAAGATGCTGCTACCCCCTGCCCAGGGCCCCACTCGGGCCCAAGGAAGCCATCCCAGGGGACCTCCTTCATCCCGCCTGGGCTGGCGCCCCTGCCCTGACACGCACCTCCACATCAGCGTCTGGTGGACCGTGGGCCGCAGGTGGAACACATGGTTGCTGACCGCCAGGTTGTGCTCCAGGCGGAAGGGCTCCAGCACCACGCCATCCCGCACAGGGAATGTGAGCCGCAGCTCGTCATTGTGGTTGGCTGGGGCGAGGAGAGGAGGTGGGTGAGCCACAAGCCTCAGCTGCCATGGGTTCTGGGGCTGTAGGTGGGACTTGCTCACCCTGGGCTGCATGCTCAGAGGAAGGCAGGGGTGTGTAAACAGGGCCAGAGACATAGCCAGTCCAAGGGCACACCAGTGAGTCATGGCTTCTTCGATTCTACACGGCCCCGCCCCAGCGACTCATCCCCTCTTCTTCCACCCGCCTCCTTGCATCCTTCCATGGCTGCGTATAGATTTTCCTCCCAGCCTCCAGGCGCCCAGGCAGCAGTAAGAAAGGCTGTCTGTGAGCTGCCTACCCCGCCTTGAGTGTGCCCCTGGGTATCTCACCTGCTCTCAACTCTCTGCCCCTTCTGATGCCCACTCCCCAGGCAGCCTGACTGCGAAGCCCCTGCTCCCGGCCCACTGGGGGGCCCAGGTGGAGCTGCCAAGAGAGGGAGGGAGGGCCCTCACCTGGGGGTGGTGGCAGAGCGCTCATATTTGGCTTGATGTCAGGCGGGAAGGGTGGTTTGACGTCTTGGCTGGGGGACAGGTATGGAGGGATGCTGCTCCCAGGGGTCATGGGGGGTGTGGGGTTCCCTGGAACAGGTGAGTGGGGGTAATTTGCCACAGGAACCGGCCTGGGAGGCTGGAGGGAAAGAAAAGACACGCACGAGTTATGGGATTACGGAGACAGAAGGGGCCATGGCTATGGACATACACCGCACTCATCCCAGGGGCCTGGAGCCATGCCCCTCGGGAGGAGAGCCTCCTCCAGGGAAACTCTTCTCTCTCGCAGATCTCTGTCCTGCTCAGAAGACAGCCCTGGGAAGGGCCTCCCCACCCTTCATCTGGGTCTCACCACTGAGCTCCTGTGTCAGGTGCCTGTGGAGACCCTTACCCATCCCTGTGATAAATGGGGACACAGAGGCTCAGGGTTGGGGACTTGCTCAGCACAACCCTTGGAGGACAGGACAGCGGGAATGAAGCCCAGGCCTCCTGTCACCCGAGCAGGTGGGCTTCCCACATCACGACTCAAGGCCACACCCTCTATGCCTACCCCATCAGGGTCCCCAGGTGGAGTCGGGGCCTGCAGAATCTGGGGCCCAGGTTCCCCAGGAACCCCTCTCCCTCTCCTTGTTTTCAAGACTAGCCAGGCTGACACTTTACCCTGGGGCTCACCCCACCTGGAGCCGTGGATTCTCAGTCCTGAGCATCTCTGTCCCCAGGACAGGGGACCAGGGAGTGCACCCCCACCCATGGGCCCCTTTGAATGTCCAGAGAGGCTGGAGCAGGAACAGTGAGAACCTTTAGAGGCAACAACTCCCTGTGGCTTAGAATTTGTAAATTAAATTGGAACATACCCTGTTGACATTCCCTTGGCTGTAGTTACTGTAGCTGCTTCCCGAGAACGTGTTATTTTGTCCATTAAACTGTTCTGGCTATTAAAACAAGATAAACAACACTGAGTGGGGGGCAGAAAAGCCATCAGAAGCCCGCTCTCCCTCTGGACAGTAAAATCTACCAGGAGCACGGGGATGCTACAGGGGCCCATCCACTGCTGGGTATATTGAGTGAGCAGGGCGGGACAGCTACACCTCAGGGACGGCATTTTGCCTCTCTCTGTCCCTAGCTATTAATTTAGCAGAAGTTACAAAAATAGCAACACCTAGTATGCTGAAGTTGGAGCAAAAACGGTAAACCTGTTTGGTAGATGGCCATAATAAATTAGCATGATTTTTGGCAAATAAATGTAAAATAATAAAGTGTCTTCTTTACTCCCAAGAAAATAATCCTAAGGAAAGGAAAGGCTATATGCCTGAAGATACTCATCATAGTGTTATTTCTAAAGTGAAAAATCAGAAGCAACCCAAATACCTAACAGAAGGAATAATAAAATATGATATGGTGATCTCAGCAGAATATTAGGCAGCCATTAAAAGTAAAAACCCCAGGGGCTCTAGTAGCAGTAAGTATCATCCTTATTATGTCATGTTAAGTAAAAGGTACAGATTCAAAGTTACAGCTGTAATAACAATTTTATAACATGTTAGTGCCCACCTGCACATACAAAGTTTAGAATGAAATGTTAATATATACAGGGGATGTGTGTTTTTTTAATAAAATATATTTCCTTTATTATTTTGTGAGTGCCGTGAATAAGAAAAGGAGAAAAAAAAACCATCATCCGAGACGAATGAGAATAGGAACTGAGAAAAGCCACTCTGACATTCTGGCCACCGAACTTCGCCCTGAACACATGGGGACGTTCAGAAATCACCCACCCCTCGCTGTCCTTGGGGCAAACACACGCAGGGTCAGAGTGATCCCGGTGGAGTTAGGGGAGTGAGGTGGTTAGGAGGGAAGGGGCCCCGTGGGTGGTGGCGAGGCTGGGACTCACCTTGTAATACTGCCCCATGTTGACCGTGGGGGGCGGGTACTGCCCGGAGCTCGGCTGGCTGGGCATCCTCTGTCCTGGGTAGTTGGGGGAGGTGAGTGGCCTCGGGGGGTTGGGGGCTGGGTACTGGCCTGGCTGGGTGGGGAACTGGCTGTTTGGTCCATATTGCTGGTTTCCATAGTTGGGCTGTGGTGGGAGAGAAAGGAGAGGGGAAACACGTTCAATGTTGCCAACGTCACATAGCCAGGTCACCTGAACAACGGGATGGGGCCCGCCTCTCCTCATTTGCTCCTGCTGTTTCCCACCCACAAAACCAGATAATGCTTTGGGCCCCTTCTCGTCCTGACATCCAGGGGCATTTTGTTCTGCCTGTCCAGATCATAGGCCACCTCCCCTTGAGGCCGTTCTTCCTGGAGCACATGTGCCCCTGAACTCCAGGGACACTTTCAGAGCCTCTTGCTCACACCATTATGAGGGGCCTGATTCTAACTCCCCCGACCTTTGTGTCTCTCCTGGTGCCTGGGTTAGGGCTGTGCTCCCCAATGTGTACCCCAATGTGACAGAGGAACACAGTCAACAGGATGCAATTCCAGAAAGGAGCCCCCTGTGCCCCTGCATTCCAAGGCTGAACTTGGGTGGCATTGTCCTCGTACTCCCCTCAGAGCAGAACACACACCTAGTGTTCAGTTCTGGGCCATCGACAACCTGCCACCTGTGCAGGAGGTGGGAGAGCCAGGTTGGTGAAGGAACAAGACAACTTCTCCCGGGACAGACAATTTAGAGAAGAGGAGAGAGCACCACCCTCCAGCCACCTTCCCTGTCTGGAAAATCAGGTGACCCTCACGGCCACATGACATCCTGTGAGTCAGTGGTTTCTTCTTCCCCATCTGAGTGTCTCTCTTGCCCAGAGGTCCTGTTGGTGGCTGTGCCCCAGTGCCTGGGAAAATACCCTTAATACTTGCTCAACAAACGAATGATGGACTTAGGGATAAATGTCAGAAAGTGTCAGTGTGGAAGAATCTACAACTCACGTTGTTGCAACATGGTGGCTGCTCTGGGTGACAGTGAGGCACCCACCACAGGAGGTATAGAAGACGTAGCTGGTGCCTACCTGCCCACCAAGCTAGAGAAGAGAGTCCTCTGTGGGACCAGATGACCCAACCCCTGTCCTAAGGCTCCAACAATTCAAATATTGTATGAACAAGCCATGGCAAGGGGAAGGAAGGCCAGTCTTCCAGACAGGATCAGGCCGCATAGGCTGTGACCACCCAGTGCTGTAGCTGGGTAGCAGCAGCACTCTATGAAAAGGATGATTAATTTAGTAAAAATATGGAGAGCCTTTGGTGTGCTCTCTTTAGGCAGGCAAGAGCCATAAGCATGGCACAGGTGCAGGTGCAGGGGTGACACCAATGACCAGGAATTCTGCTGAAGCCTCATCCGAGATTGCCTCCTTTGGCGTGGGCTAACAGATGCACCCCCAGCACAGCCAGTGGGACACTGGGATTTTGAGCACAGGGTGGCTGAGAAAAGGCCTAGAAACTGCATGGGGCCTGAGTGCCAGGAGAGGTGCCAATAGCTTGAGGCTCCCCCAAACTCAGGACCCAGGAGCCAATGGTCCTTCTCTGGCCCCTCCCTGAACTAGTGTCCACCAGGTGGAGGGTTGGGGCTTGATCCAGCTTCTTGGATGCATGAGGAAGCCCCTGACCCCCCCCCCTCTCTCTCCCCTCCTGAACTCAGAATACCTCCACTTGTTGCCAAGCCTCCCCGCCCATCCTAAGGTGGATACTGAGGGGAAATGTGCAGATCTTCAAGGAACTTAAGGTCTTTGGAATCTAAAGCCGCTGTGAACCCAAGGTGAAGGCCACAGAGCTGAGAGGAGCTAGGAGGAGAAAACTGCTCTGAGAGTGGGCATGCAAGCTGGGAGGGAGGCAGGCAGAGAGCTGGGCACACCCTGCTCAAAAAGGGGCTTGGTCGTGGGGAGCAACCAGGGCTTCACGAGGGGCATCTGCAGAGCCACGTCCCTACGTCTTCTGCAGGTAAACTAAATCCTTACCTGGGTACCCAGATGGGCCAGCTGCTGCCAGCATCATTTTCTGAGGATTTACTTGTGACACACCCTCCAGGAAGCCTGCCTTCTCTGACTCATATTGAGTTCTGTGCAGTCTGCTATGCTTCATTCCCTGGTGAGTCTCTGCTAAAAACTTTTCTTTCCTGCTAAAACCTCACTTCCCAGAGGGCAGGAGGTGTGGGTTTTACTTCCCCAAATCTTCCCCAACACCTTGGCTGAGCTGGCTGTGCAGCCCAAGAGGCAGTGCCACTTCCTATACAGTGACCAAGTGTGGATGGAAACAAGAGCTAAGAAACACGCTGTCTGCCTTCCAGTCACTTCCCTGACGGGTCAGTCCTTATAGACTGGAAACAGCTGCCGGCCTTCCAGTCACTTCCCCAACGGGTCAGTCCTTATAGATTGGAAACACGCTCTCTGCCTTCCAGTCACTTCCCCAACAGGTCAATCCTTACAGACTGGAAACACGCTGCCTGCCTTCCAGTCACTTCCCGGACGGGTCAGCCCTTATAGACTGGAAGCATTTTGTCTCAGCTCTCTTTCTTGGAGAGGAGTTGGGGAAGCTCTCATGTGGGCAGGAGGAACTAAACCCAGGTCACCCAGTTAGTGGCTGAGCCAAGACAAGAGTCACTACAGTAAGAGGAACTGCTGCTTGCTGAGTGGCGGCACATGCCAGCCCAGGGCCAAGCACTTCACGGACACCTCCTCAAGTCCCTCAAGCAGCCCTAGGAGGCAGGGTGACTGGCTCGAGGTCTTTCAGTTGGGAAACAGCAGAACCAGGTCTCAAACCCAGGAGCACCTGACCCCTAAGCCCCTGCCTCTTTGTCCAAGTGTGCTGGAGTCCAAGCCACACCCCTTCCAAAGCCGTACCCACGGCCCATGTCTTCAAGCCCAGGTGTCCCAGTTCCCACCTCCCAGGCTCCCACTGCTGCACTCACCTCTCCAGGGTATGGCCTCTTTATGTTCTGAATAGGAAGGGACTGGGGCCGGGGGCCCGGGTAGGTCTGCTGGGGCATCCGCTGCCCGTGTGTGCCAAAGGGGCTGATGCCGGGCGGCCGGGGCTGGTTCATGCCCATGGGAGGGCCGCTCATCCCCGAGGGCGTCATGCCAGCCGCCATGCTCGCGGGGTTCATGCTGCCCCCCATGGAGGCAGGCCCCCGCGGCCCGGGCTGGTTCATGAATTGGCTGTTATACGCCTGGGTGGGACCCATCTGGAAAGAGGAACAGACCTTCAACGGGAGAAGAAAAAAAAAAGAATAAAATGCCACATGCATTGAAAGTGCAGGGAGGGAAGGGTTGGGGAGGTGGAGGAGTGGGGAGGGGGCACTGTCCTGTGCGGCAGTGACTGGTGACCAACCAGGCCCCAGGGGAGCAGGATCCACCCAGGCTCACTGCTGCCCTCTGCAGCCGCACAGGAGAGATGCAGCTCAGGGGTGTTAGGGGATGGGGTGGGGTGGGGTGAGGTGGTCACTCCGATGCACAGGCAGCATTTCCAGGGAGGGAGGCAGGCAGAAAACCAGGAAAGTGTGCAGGGACAGGGAGGGGTATGGGAGGGTGGAGGTAGATGAGGGTGGAGGCAGGAGCCCGAGTGAGACTGCAGCCCCTTTCCTGGAAGCCCTGGCCCTGCCCTTGGTCCTGGGCCAGTGGAGGCACACCCTCCATCCCCAAAGTTGGCCTCAGCCCAGCTTCCACTTCTGCCCCTCTGCCCTGCAGTTCCCACCTCCTCACCTCCTGTTCTGCATTCCTATGGGGGCTCCCCTCTCCTCATCCCCTAACCCATCCTTCAGAAGGTCAGGGAGCAGCACTGGGGCCTGCGCAGACCCACAGATAGGGTGACTAGGAGGGCACTGGTCTCAGAGGCAATCCAGGAGACAGACCGGTCACAAGACTATTTTTAGACATTGAGCCCACTCCTTGGTGAGTTGGGGGCCCAGAGAGCCATGTAGAACCTTTTCCCCATATGCAGTTGTACATGAGCCACCAACACACAGAACAAACACCAGCACCCATACACCCCACCACACCCAAGCACACTGACACGCCCCATTCTAGACATGCGCCATTCTAAACACACAGACCTCCACATGCTTCCATGAAAGCCCAAATGCACCCTAATGCAGTCAGCTCTCCCAGCACACATGGCCCCATAAGCACTGACATCCCAACTCTGGTTTCCCAGGGCTGTCTGCCTGGCTGGCTGGGCAAGGCTGGACCAGGATTAGTGGGAACCCTTACCGGTCCATACTGGTTTATATCCTTGTTCTGTGTCTCCTGCAGGGCTGCCACAGTGGCCGTGGCTGTGGCTGTAGCTGTGGCTGCTGCTGCTGCCACTGCCGCTGCTGCAGCGGCTGCCGCGGGCTGAGTGAAGTCAGCAGGCGGCCTGGTGTGCGGAGGGATGCCCATGCCTGCGGGGGCGTTAGGACCCCCAGGGTAACTGCAGGGGGAGAAGGGTGGAAGAGTTAGGTACTGCCTGCATCTGAGGGGAACTGAGGGCAAGCTGTGGGCTGGAAGGGAGATGATGGAGCTGTACCCAGAACCTAGAGGGGACGGGGCCTCTTGGGATTGGCAGCCATTCATTTGTGCCACTTGGCAACGACCAGGCTGCTGTGCTCCTGGAGCCCTTGGGGGTGCCTGCACCCTCACTGCATGCTGTCGGGGCCCTGGTGAGCCCATCTTCTGAAGGACACTGAGTCTCAGAGAACCTGAGCAACTTGCCCAAGGCCCTGCAGCATTGATGGCGGAGCTGCGGCTGCAGCTGCAGGTGTTTCTGATCCCTGTGTTTAACCACCAGGTCATATAGCTGTGCCAACCCCAGGCCAGAAACCCAGCCAGGGCTGGTGAGGGCTGAGGCCAAGGTGGGGGTCTTAGGCAGGGCGGGGTGGAAAGAGGAGAATGGGCACCTCTGCTCGCCTCACACCACTCCCCAGAGCTCCATATCCTGGGAGTCC
Organism: Homo sapiens; assembly: GCF_000001405.40. Lineage (NCBI taxonomy): Eukaryota > Metazoa > Chordata > Mammalia > Primates > Hominidae > Homo > Homo sapiens. The sequence goes on along the minus strand of NC_000010.11, from coordinate 79,291,643 downwards.
CTGCCCTTTTCTTCCCAGCCAAGGGACTCGCAGTCTCTGCATAGTTCTGCTTTCACCAATCAGCAAGGCAGAGCAGATATTCCCAGACTGCTTCACTGTCTTTGGGCAACTGGACCCCATCTATACCTGCTCTTCGACTTTCCCAATCCAGATTTTCTCAATATTTTCCTATTCATTAAAGACAAAATTTAGAGAAGGGTTGTTTTGAGGTTTTGAGGAGTAAGAATGTCACCTCTCTATTTCTACGAGTCTGACGACTGTCAGAACACAGGCCAACTGCTGCAGCGCCTTATCTGCAGGCCAGCCCTGGGAGCCAGGGATGACTGAGCCCCTTCAACTCATGTAACAACAGAGGATAACTTCTCAGGGCAGAAAGCGTGGAGCTGGGATTTAAGTGGGTCCCTCCCCACTGGAAGGAGGAAGAGGGGTGGCGTCCATGGCTTCTGCCACAGGTCAGCCCTGCTCACCTGGCCCCAAAGCCCCCGCTGCCGGGGTAGTTGGGCCGGCCATACATGCTCTGCTGGATGTAGGGCTGAGCGGGGCCAGCCTTGGCTGAGAACTGCTGCTGCTGCCCCGCAAACTGTGGGGAGTTGAGGCCTGGGTTGCTGGTGGTCATGCCCGACGCCATGGGGTTGCCGCCTGGATTCATGGGGTTGTTGGCATTGGCCATAGGGTTCCCAAGGACCTGTGGGCAGAGAAGTGGTTGTCACCTAAGGTGCTACCCGAGGCAGTGTGGAGAGGAAGAGGGATAAATGAAGAGGGGAAAGGGAGAAAGAACAAAGTGGAGGCAGGACAACAGGGAGGAGGAAAAAAATGGAGGGTGGATGAACTATTCTGAGTGTACCGGTGATAAGGAGCGGGCCTGGGCGGCAGGTGGCGTGGGGGATGAGAACGTCAGCCTTGTGATGGAACAAGCTGAGGGTATGACCAAGCCCCACAAAGCCAGTTCAAGCGGTCCCCAGGGGCTGCGCAGCCCAGTGAAGGGAGAAGAGGCTGCTCTTGTACCAGGTACCCGTGGGGAGAGCCCTGGCCATGAAGCCTACTGCCCCACAAACGAGCCTGGATGCCAGCGTCTTGTCACACAGGGGCCCCAAGGCCCCTGGCTGCTGCTCTGTGAGGGCCAAGAGGAACCCACCCTGCTAGCTCTGGAGGGCAGCAGGAGCAGGCGACAACCGGTCAGCCCAGTGGCTCCCTCCAGGGTGACAAGCAGCCCTGAGCCTTCCATGTAGCCACAGAAAAGGCTGGCAGAGGTCAGACAGGTGGGAGACTCCCTGACTGGGCAGAGGAGGAGTGGAAGAGAGAGGAAGGAATGAGAGGGAGGTGGGTCTGACTAGGGCAATGGGGAGTAGGGAGTTGTCAGAAGTCCAAGGCACAATATTTTGATGAAATCCAACTCAGGCCATACATCCAGGGTCAGAGACCTCAGACCTTGGAGCCCTGAAGCCAGTAACACAGAGGAAGTTCTCCTGTTTACCAGAGCAAATGGGCTAGGGAAGAACCCCTTGCTGTCTGTCAGATGAATGCCATTCCTCCAGAAAGGCCTTAGGATGGGGACAGTCCATAGAGGCTGCCCTCCTGAGGCGGGTGCAGAGCCTGCCAGGGGTGGAGACGTGTCCACAGCTGGGTGTGCCCTGGAAGCTGGTCTTTCCAGCAGGGCAAGGCCTGTGAGGGTGAAGAGGGCTGGTATGGCTCCAGGGGTCAAGGGACACTCCCGCCTAGAAAGAGCTGTGGCTGAGGGCAGTATAGGCTCTTACCTGGCTCTGGGATGTGTTGGTTACTCCCCAAACCGTGGTGACCACGGAAAGGGAGCCGGGAGGCTGGTTGGTGTTCTGCTGCCAAGGGACAGAGTCATAGGGGAACGACCCATCACTGCAGAGGGAGACAGAGGGAGATCTTCAGGGCCTGGCAGGCACAGACTCAAGACAGGCCATGCCCATCACCCCACCAAGTGACCGCAGCTCCCAGTCAGTCCAAGGTAACCCCCATCCGAGTCGGTACTGGACCCCCCAGGCCTGTCTCAGTGCCCAGTGCACAACAGTGTGCCCTGCATGGTGACAGGCTGTTCAGAAGTGGCCACCTTTCCCCCGATCACTGCAGAGAGCTACTTCCATGGCTGTGTGTCTCCCTGTATCCCCGAGTCCACAGGTCATGCAACTGATGAAGTGGTGTGACCTGAGGCCCAATCTGAGCTCCTCCTTCACCCGGGCTCTGACTCCACGTTGCCCTTTAGGAAGAGCCTGGGCTCCCCCAAACCACCTTACCCTTGGAACTGCTTGGTCCCTTCTCAGTACAGGCTGGAAGGGTCCGAGTCTGAGGGTGTCAGCCCTTCCCTCTACCTCCCAGCCCTTCACAGCAGCCTGGCTGCCTGGGCCATGGGAATGCAGGCTTTCTTCCGGCACCCTTCCTTCCCAGCCCCCAGCAATGTGGGTACAGGCCTACCTGCTGCACACCCTCTCCTGCCCCCACCCCGATCTCTCATGTACATTTTCCCCAAGCTAATCTCCCTCAAACACCTAAGATGCCTGGCACAATCAAAGACCTTTGGTGGCTTCCAGCATTTATAAGGCAGAGTCCAAACACACACTTAAGAATGACTTACTCCTCTGGCGGACCCCACCATTCCCTCACCCCGCTTTGGCTCTGTCCTCTCGTGGAGCTGCCCCTGCCCCTAAACACTGCCTCCTCTCTACCAACCCGGACCATATTTCCCCTCCTCCCCTCACCAGGTCCAGCAGTACCCACCACGTTTGTGGACATCTCCCCAAGGAGCTCTCACGTATCAGAAGCAAGGAGTTAGCCTTCAGCCCCACCTCTTGTGCTTAGGTCTACAGTGAGTGTCCAGTGATGCTTCCTACCGACTGCTGGGGTGCACAAGAGTGAGGCCAGCAGATCCCAGCGAAGGGGCAGGGCATGAAGACCTGCCAGGGTGCCAGCCCCCAGGAGGCTGGGGATGAAGCTGCCTCTCCCACCAGAGCCGGCACTGGCTCTCTGGCACCACCCCCTCACCAAGTCACAAAATTCTAGATGTGGAACCAGGAAGAGCAGAAAAGCAAAGCGCCCACAGCTGTGCCACTGCCTCTACCCAGGGCACAGGGTGTGTGTGTGTGTATGTGTGTGTGCGTATGTGTGTTGGGGGAGGGAAATTGGGAGAAGGGCCGGGCAACAGGAAAGAGCCTCATGCCTCTGTCTGGCTTGTGTCTGTCTTAGTCACAGGAGACAGCAAATGGCAAAGGTTCTCAGTCACACCTGGCAGACTTGTACCCTAGCTGAGTGGCCAGTCCAACCCTAGCAGCCAGGGCAACTGGGGATGGAGGTGCTGAGGAGGCACCTCTGGGGATGCAAGGAGCCCAGCCCAGAGGTGAGGACTTCCCAGAGGGAGGCGGAGGGCTGCATGACCCGCAGGCAGCGGAGATCAGGGCAGCCAAGTCTTGTGCTCTGTGCCTTGCCCGGCTGAGCTCTTGGCAATGCTGGTCAAGTCTGACGGGCTCCTGCAGAGGCGACCAGCCTGGAGGGCAGGACCACACCACTGTCTGCTCATACTTGCCCCTCCCCTGCCTGGATACCCTCTGCCCTAGATTTCTCAGCCTGGCCAGCCCCTCGCTTTCTTCCTGTCTGAGATCGCTGGAGGGGCCTCCCCCGCCCTCCTCGTATAAAAAAGCAGCTCCTACCCGACACTGCCTGCCCCCTCACCCTGGCACTGGAATTTTTTTCATAGCACTCCACCACTGTCCTAATTATATATTTTTTTGATTATTGTCTGTCTGCCTCTAGAACAGCTCTGTGACGGCAGAGACTTTTGTGCTTAGGACCCTGGTGCAAGTTTCCTCACTCAATCTCCTCATCTGTAAAATGGGCATCAGATGATACCTCCCCACTCTACTCTGTGTTTTCCAACTGTGGGTTACAGAATCTGAGCAGGTGATGACATCCAACCAGCAGGGGAGAAAAAAGCATCAACTAGAAAGTGATGGAGTGTGAGCACACAATAAAGATGAAGATTAGTCCTTGAGCTTCTGTCTTGGTTTTATACACAAATACATGTGCACCTTGGGTCAAGGTGTCGTATGTGTATTTATCGTGGATCTTGGTCAAATAGGTTTGAACACAGGTTCAGCAGCCTAAATCTGATGTGGCTCAAAGAGGAGAATGCAGTCAAAGGGCTTTCCCAACTGAGCGCTGCTCGTGATTTCTGGGGAAACTGCAGGACTCGCATTTGGAGTAGAGGAGCTGTACTCAGGGCACTCAGTTGGCCAGGCACAATGATGGGTAGTGGCTTGTTGAAGATCCAGATGCTTGGGCCAAAGGTGACAGATAGCGACAGACTCTGCTCTCCAGGTGGCGGATTGGAGACTGGGAGCCCAGAGGGAGTGGGCAGTGCAGAGAAACACAGGAAAGTAGCCATGAGCCTGCTCCTCAGGAAGGCTGGGCTGGAACAGCCTCTGTCTCCCAGGGAGGTCACTGGGGACCCGGCACACCACCTGGTTCCAGACTGGCACACCAGAGTCTCACAGGGAGGCTCTACAGGTCACGCTTTTACAAAACAAAGAGGAGATCCCCTGGACACCTGCTGTCCTCAAGGCCCATGTCCTAGGTGTGCTGGATGACCAGAGGGGGTCCCCTACATCTGAACAAAACCCAAGCCTGAGTGGCTTCTCGCCCCAGAACTTCTGCCCCACAAGTTCCCACCAACCCTCCAGGCTGATGGCCTTGAGACGGAAGTTCCTATCCTTTGAGAACATGCCTGGCCAGGCTCAGGAAATGAACCCCCATGGGAGGCCCCAGGGGCCGGCAGGGCCCTGCCTGTGGCCAGGGAGTGGGCAACTGCTGCCTCATCACCTCAGCCCAGGACGCTACACAGGCCCACGAACAAGCTCCCAACTGCCCTGCAGCTCCGTGGGTGAGCCTTGTGGGCGGAAACCAGCTCCTTCCTGTTTTGTCCCCTCTGCCCCAAACTTGGTGAGAAGCAAAGCTAACCAACGTTCCCAAACTGGCCATCCCACTGCCTGGCTGGAAGGTTTGCCGCCCCAGAGCAAAGATGCACGCAGGCATATGGAGGACACATCCGTGCACACACGCGAGGCCCTGCTGGCATGCTGCCCGTGCACTGGGGAAGAGACAGGCACAGCGTGTGGGGCAGTCTCAGGACTAGCTTGCCTCCACACGCACCTGCTGCAGAAGCAGAAGTGGCAGCCGCACCGACAGGACCGTGACTCATCTCATTCTGGGGGAGACGGGCTCCTGCTGTCGCAGAGAAGGCTCTCGCCCCCGCAGGCCCCCACAGCAGCCCTGCTGATGTGACGCCACTGCCTAGACTCAAGATACCACCACCGGGGGAATGCCTGGTCCCTGTTCCCAAGGATGAAGGACCAAGCAGACCCCTGGGCTGCTACCAGAAAGGCATGGCCTGGCTGGGATGGGAGGAGGGTCTGGAGGGTGCCTGAGAGCCCTTCTTCTCTCCGACGAGCACAGTTTAACCTGCAGACTTGCTTCACCTGGTCACAGGTGCTTGGCATTTTTTAATAATTCTGTCCCACTCTGTACAACCCTAATCCAGCATGGCCTGCCCAGTATCACACCATAAGCTGCTCCCAGCCACAGTCCTGTCCAGCCAAAACGGCCCCAACAATCCTGCTCCACCCACAGAAGCACCAAGGCCAGAAGCCATCTGCAATGTCAGCAGCAACGGTTCCATTTGCCAACTGCTCCCTAATACAGGGGCCTCTGTGCCTCTTCTCAGGCTGGCAAGTTCCATCCCACCTTGAAAATGCCATTCATCCTTTCCAGGCTCTTCCAAAGGCCACCTCCTCCGGGAAGCCCTTGCAGAAGGTACTGAACTCCACTGGCTCTTCGCATTCCTGGCAAGAGTGAGAACCCTCTGCCTTCTCCCTTCTGCCTCAGGAGCTGTCACTGATTTCTTGGGCTCCCTGAGCCAAGCATGATGTCTTCACACACCAATAGGGCTCAGGAAACCTTTGCTAAACAAAAAAATGTGCCAGGGAGAAACCACCTCTCTGCACTCACCCTTGGAGTGATGCTGAAAATGAATATGTCCATTTCGTTAAGCCTGATGACCGACCACCTACACAGTGTGTCTGTGGCCACATGGCCACTGGGGCCCAGAAAGTGAGAGAAGGACACAGAGGGAAGCGATGAAACCACTGCTCACTCTCTGTATGCCTCAGCAACCTCATCTATGAAATGGGGCTGATTCAGCCCCTCCCTTCGAAGGCTGCCGTGAGGGTTAAGTGTAAGTGCCTAACATGTATGAGGCCCAGAGTCCCGCACACCTTGGACACCCTGAAACTGCTGGCTGCCGCTGTTACTGTTGTTCTGATTTACTGAGTGACTTCTAGATGCAAGGAATTTTGTGAAGTGGCCTTCACCTAAGAACTCATTCAGTGCCCCATTAAGTGGGCCCAACAGATGCCCATCTTAGAAGCTGGGGCTCACAGAGGTAGCAGAGCCAATCAAGGGCAAGGCTGCCGGGTCACCAGACCGTATCAGGCTCACCACTGTCTTAGGAACTTAGGATCCAGCAAGGCAACGCTCCCCTCTCCAGAGATGGCCACGAGGCAAGGGAGCACACTGCAGAGGCCACCTAGAAGCCACAAGAATTCCAAGAAGGGCTGCATCTTCCTGGGGGTTCTTGGGGAAGTCGCCTAGCACGAAGGGACAGGGGAAATGTAAAGATGGGCCTCAAAGCCCAGCTGCAGAGAAAACCCAAATAGTCTTCCAGGAAAGAATTTCTTTATACACTAAATCGTCTGCTTTAGCTTGTACTGGCCGTGTTGGCAAAGATTCAGGGACCCCTTTTTGAGGTTAATATTCAGCCGACAGAGGGAGGCCCAGCAGGAGAGAGGTTCCCTATGTGGGCTCTGGAGTTACAGTCTTCCGGGTCAAACCCTGGCTCTGCCACTGAAGCTTTCTGTGGCCTTGGACATGTTACTTTCAGTCAGCCTCAACTTTCTCATCTGTAAAGTGGGACTAACACTTTCCTAAGAAACATGAGAAAAAAGTAAAGTTTAGCACAGAACCTGGTAGAAAGACCCTGCTCAACTGTACTTACACCTTTCTCTCCAGTCCTCCAACCAGCCATACACAGCTACCCCTGTTTACTTCAGGATACAATGAAAGTGGCCTAGGAATTTTTCAAATATGCTACCAATGGGAGGAGCCGTTTTCATTCCTACCTGTCAACTAGAAAAAATGTGCTTCTCAAGCCTCTGAGACTTTCTTCATTTTTCTTCTGCCTTCCCTTCACCAGCCAGCAAACTTCTATCCATACTTCAAAGCCCAGCCTGCATACTCCCTTTAAGGACCCTCCTAAGCAGAACCAAGGACACTTTCCTCTGTTCCCTCAGCACTTTTTTCACGTATTTTATAGAGAGCTCTCTGCACTGCAGTCACAGTAGACAGTTTACATGTCTGTGCCAGCTCCACGGGCAATGATCGAGGTTTTGCTGAATGTGAGAAAATGAGCAAGGCCTGGGATAAGGCAGTGATGATTCCTGGCTCCTGTGCACCCGCTATGGCAGCATCTACACACACATTCATGAAAGGAACGCGGGGGGAGGGCTGAGTTATTTCTTCCCTTGCACTTGTAATAGCTGCTTTATTTGGGAGAAATAACCAATTTCCATTAAGGGTATTGTCAGACTCTAATTAATTTCCCTGATCCAGCCATACTGGTCCCGTCTCCGTGCAAGGCTGTAGTGTTACTGCTAATGAAATGCCAAGCCAGTGAGGAGCTGAAGCTCCCACCCTGTTTAATTTAGGGGAACCATTAACAGTGTTCTCCATCATCACAATTACTGGGGCCTACTTCCTTCCCTCCCTGCGGTGAAACTTAGGAACTTGTGCAGCTAACTGCATATTAGAGGGTGTTAAAACTTTTTCAGTAGGAAGGAGGAAAGGAAAAAATCCTTTGCATCTTGGCCATCTGGAACTGATGGTGCAGGGATTTATGGGTCTTTCAATTCTCCCCTTTCCTTCTTTTTTTGTTTTTAAAATGTTCTTGGGGCAACAAAGCCCTAACATAAACTGAGCTTTGGTGAAGCTATGCAAAACCGAGCTAAAAATGGCAGCTGTGGAGATGGTGTGATGTGGCTGGTTTTGATTGCCCCCTTCTTTCTTGTTTGGCCATGAATAAGCACTTAAGAATTTGATGGCACCTGGCTGAGGATCAGGGGAATAATGACTGGTCCATGGGCTCCCAGTGTGCCAGGCTTGGCGACAAGCACACCACTCCTGCCACTGTTGTCACTCCCCTTCTACAGATGAGGAAACCGAGGCACAAGGAGGGTAAGTAACTGGCCAGTTACCCAGCTAGAATATGGCCCAGCTGAAACTCAAGGCCCAGCAGCCTGGCTCCAGGGCCTGTTCCCCGACCTGCTATACTCAGGGGATGCCAGGGGCCCTCCCGCCCAGAAGCCTCTCTGTTGGGGTTCATAAATCCCGCACCTATAAGAAGGAGGAAGGCACCTCTCAATCTTGGAGGCTTCCCCAGCCCTAGCGAGTTTTGACTGTAATCAAATTAACAGCATAAACAAGATTTATTAGGCCTTTAATTACCTTTGCAACACTGATCTGCATAAGGACAATGTGCTAATCACAAATGGCTTTTTAAACCACTCATTAAAAATCTGGAAGAAGGAGGTTGAAAGACTTCACTGGCTTCAAGTCCAGGTCACTGCAGGGACTTGGAAGGTGCCCTACTTGCCCAGGCACTGGTCCTGGACCTTGCCAGGCCTCTCTGGCCACCTTCTCTTGTATAGTATCCTGGGTATCTGTGAGTATAGACGGCAGCCCCACTGCAGCCAGTGATGAGGACAAAACAGGGAGTGAGCCTACAGACGTCCACAAACTGAGGATAATTAGTATTCCTCGTCACCACCCTTACCCCCAGATATAGCTGCGGGGCTATGGCAGCCTGACCCTTTCCTGACATCCTGCTCATGCGGCACCATGTCCCCCATCAGCAGGGAACCACGAGGCCAAGAGGTCAAGGGTCTTGCTGGGAGGCACAGCATTTGTGTGGAAGAAAGCAGGCCCTGACTCACAGCCTCATGCCGCAGTGCCAAAGCTCTGCAGCCTGCAGCAGACATGATTGTGACACCCGAGCTCTCCAAATATGACAGTCACCAGGGACCCTCCAGGCGTCTGCCGTCCCTCGGGGCAGGGCGGGGCTGCAAGTGTCCAGGCTCCCTCATCCTCTCCCATTTGTTCGTCCTCAGAGCCTTCAGACAAAGACCCAGAGCCTTCAAACAGCCAGATACCTGCGGGCATCAAATCTCAACTGTCCCAGCTCACCCAAGCTCACCTCCAGCTCAATGTCGCCTTAATGAAAAGGCAAAAAGAGCTTCCTGCCTCCAAGCCATTCAATAAAATTATGGAGGATGACGGACTAAAACAGTTTGCTAATTGTGAAAGCGCTCAGCTTTCTCTTCCATTTTCTTTCCGTCTTGTTTGGGAAATTGCACTGAGGACTTATGAGGTGTTGGACCCCGTTGCAGTTTCCCTGGAAATGAGGGATTTATCCTTTGTGAAATTCCTAAAGGTTGCAAGGAGAGACTGTGTAACTTTCAATTGCCTAACCACAACGTGTCCTCAGAATAGCCTGGGGCTTGGAGAAGGAACACGGGCTATTAAATGGGAAAAAGGTGAGCTGTGGATCAGAACAGATGACCCTCTTCTAAAAAGACCCTCCAAATTGGGTTAACAACGAGATACCACCTCGTTGACCCTGAAGGACCAGCTAAATAGCACAGCCCTGTGCGCTGTTTAATATCTTCCTCTGCCCTTTACTGGCTGTGTGTTCTGGGGCAATTCACTTTCCTACTCTGGGCCCAATTTTCCTTCCAGTTCTGCCATTCAAAGTGTGGGATGTTGTCTAGCAGGCCCTCCACCTCCCTGTGCTCCCACGAGGAAGCCTCGCTCCACGGAACCGACTGGTTAGCCACCAGTACTCAGCGAGTCTTCCAGCCCACACAGCTTTCCTTTCTCTGACAGACCACTTATGGCCCAAAGAGTAAGTGCCAGCCTGGTCTTCAAGCTCTCAGACCACTGGCTTTGCATTCTAGGTCATTCTGCTGGACTTACAGAGAGCTGAGGCCATGGTGATGGAGGCAGCAGGGCACTGGGTGCTGGCCAGTGGCTCTTCGGCCCATAACATTTCTTGGGAAAGCCAGCTTGAATTCATAGAATGCAACTACCCCTCCCAGCCGAAGTCCTTCAAGTTCAAGACTCCCATCCTCTGGGCAGCCTCCTGACAGTCAGCCCTGTCCATCTTCCTCCATCTGAACCCCAAAGCCCAGTCTGCCTGTCAATGAACCCTAGTCCTGCCCTGCTCTGCCAGATTCCAACGTGGCCCCAGTGAGTCTTATTTCCCCAACTAGCTTGAGGCTGCTCCTCGAGCACAGAAATACCTCATCTCTGTTTAACCCCGGGACCGAACAACCTCATGCCTTAGCTCAACTCAGCTGGCAAAGGGCTGGCCGAGATCCAGATTTGTGGCACTCTGTGACCTGAACAATCACGGTCAAGCAGGTCTGAGGCTGGTCCCTAGTGGGGAGCTGCAGGGCTCTGGCCCACCATAAGCAACAACTTTACTAAAATAACTTGGAGGAGAGAAGCTTGGGAAGGTCATGACACATAGGATGATGAGAGGAGGATGATTCTGGAGGGATGGACGGCTGAGTTAGAATTAATAAGGTAAAGCTTCCCGAGGGCAACTGCAAGGTATGCTGCTTAAGTGAAATGCAGCTGCAGCCTGTGCTCAGCGGCTTGGTTCAGATGAAGACAAACTGTGGCTTTTAGCAAAGGGTACACAGAGGGAGGTGGAGGCAGGTTTTGTCTTTTTAGAGCAGCGGTCCTTAACCAAAGGTGAGACTCAAATGTGGGAGGGTACTTTTATTGTGATAATGCTTAGGGGAAGAGGGCAGTCATCAGAAGAATGGGGTGGGATTAACCAAGCGTGGGCATTAAAAAAAAAAAAAAAGAACAGAGTGGGTAGGGACCAAGACGCCAAATGCCCTGCAAAGTCCTGCACCAAGAAAAATTACCCCTGTGTCAGACAGGTGTAGTGGTGCATGCCTGTAATCCCAGCACGTTGGGAGGCCAAGGTGGTAGGATTGTTTGAGCCCAGGAGTTCGAAACCAGCCTGGGCAACATAGCGAGACCCTATCTCCACAAAACTATAAAGAAATAGCCAGGTGTAGTGGTGCATGGCTATGCTTCCAGCTACTCAGGATACTGAGGTGGGAGAATCGCTTGAGCCAAGGAGGTCGAGGCTGCAGTGAGCTATGATAGTGCCACTGCATTCCAGCTTGTCCAACAGGGTGAGACCCTGTCTTTTAAAAATAATAATAGGCCGGCATGGTGGTTCATGCCTATAATCCCAGTACTTTGGGAGGCTGAGGCAGGCAGATTCCTTGAGCTTAGGAGTTCGAGACCAGCCTGGGCAATGCCATCTCTACTAAAAATACAAAAAATTAGCCATGGGTGGTGGTGAATGCCTGTGGTCCCAGCTACTTGGAAGGCTGAGATGGGAGGATCACTTGAGCCCAGGGGCGGAGCTTGCAGTCAGCCGAGATTGCGCCACTGTACTACAGCCTGGGTGACAGAACCAGATCTTGTCCAAAAAAAAAAAAAAAGTAATAATAATACCCCTCTCCCTCCCCCTCTCCCCTTTGCACGGTCTCTCCCTCTGATACCTAGCCGAGGCTGGACTGTACTGCCGCCATCTCGGCTCACTGCAACCTCCCTGCCTGATTCTCCTGCCTCAGCCTGCCGAGTGCCTGGGATTGCAGGCGCGTGCCACCATGCCTGACTGGTTTTCCTATTTTTTGGTGGAGACGGGGTTTCGCCGTGTTGGCCAGGCTGGTCTCCAGCTCCTGACCGTGAGTGATCTGCCAGCCTCAGCCTCCCAAGGTGCCGGATTGCAGACGGAGTCTCGCTCACTCAGTGCTCAATGTTGCCCAGGCTGGAGTGCAGTGGCGTGATCTCGGCTCGCTACAATCTCCACCTCCCAGCTGCCTGCCTTGGCCTCCCAAAGTGCCGAGATTGCAGCCTCTGCCCAGCCGCCACCCTGTCTAGGAAGTGAGGAGCGTCTCTGCCTGGCCGCCCATCATCTGGGATGTGAGGAGCCCCTCTGCCCGGCCGCCCAGTCTGGGAAGTGAGGAGCGCCTCTTCCCGGCTGACATCCCGTCTAGGAAGTGAGGAGCGTCTCTGCCCAGCTGCCCATCGTCTGGGATGTGGGGAGCGCCTCTGCCCCGCCACCCCGTCTGAGATGTGAAGAGCACCTCTGCCCGGCCGCGACCCCGTCTGGGAACTGAGGAGTGTCTCTGCCCCGCCACCACCCCATCTGGGAGGTGAGGAGCGTCTCTGACCGGCCGCCCAGTCTGAGAAGTGAGGAGCCCCACCGCCCGGCAGCCGCCCCGTCCGGGAAGTGAGGAGCCCCTCCCCCTGGCAGCTGCCCCGTCCGGGAGGTCGGGGGCAGCCCCCGTCCGGCCAGCCGCCCCGTCCGGGAGGTGGGGGGCAGCCCCTGTCCGGCCAGCTGCCCCGTCCTGGAGGTGGGGGGCAGCCCCCGCCCGGCCGCCGCCCCGTCTGGGACGTGGGTGGCGCCTCTGCCCGGCCACCCCGTCTGGGAAGTGAGGAGCCCCTCTGCCCCGCCACCACCCTGTCTGGGAGGTGTACCCAACAGCTCATTGAGAACGGGCCATGATGATGATGGTGGTTTTGTCGAATAGAAAAGGGGGAAATGTGGGGAAAAGAAAGAGAGATCAGATTGTTACTGTGTCTGTGTAGAAAGAAGTAGACATAGGAGACTCCATTTTGTTCTGTACTAAGAAAAATTCTTCTGCCTTGGGATGCTGTTAATCTATAACCTTACCCCCAACCCCGTGCTCTCTGAAACATGTGCTGTGTCCACTAAGGGTTAAATGGATTAAGGGCGGTGCAAGATGTGCTTTGTTAAACAGATGCTTGAAGGCAGCATGCTCGTTAAGAGTCATCACCACTCCCTAATCTCAAGTACCCAGGGACACAAACACTGCGGAGGGCGGCAGGACCCTCTGCCTAGGAAAACCAGAGACCTTTGTTCACGTGTTTATCTGCTGACCTTCCCTGCACTATTGTCCTATGACCCTGCCAAATCCCCCTCTCCGAGAAACACCCAAGAATGATCAATAAATACTAAAAAAAATTAAAAAAAAGAATTAAAATAATAATAATAATAAATAATAATAATAAAAAGAAAAACTACCCTGTGTAAATGCACTAAGGAACACTGCTACAGAAGAGAAGCTTGGAGCTGCTCAGCAGCCAGACCCAGGATCTGAGGAGGCAGTGCCCTTGGGTGGTGGTGGGCTTGCGATGGTACAAAGGGCTTATGACCAAGGCAGGCAACCACATGTCAGGGGCAATCAGGCCCAGGGAGGGCACTGGACATGATGAGCACTAAGGTCCTTTCCAGCTCAGAAAGTCAACAAGCCTCTAATTCGATTTATAAAGCGTGGCTGACACCCGAGTTCCCAGCAGCACCTCGATGGTGCGACCCAGGTCTGCCTGCAGTGTGCTCTGGGCTGCGGGTCCCTCAGTCAGGCTGGATAATGAGAGCCGAGCTCTGACTGCAAATGACCCTCCTGATCATTAGCGGAGACACACACAGGGGAGAGCAGACAGCATGACAGGCCCTGTTGTTGCAGGGTCAGCCTGCAGAGCGCTCAGAGAGAGCATCCCCAGCTCAGCAAGGGACTCAAAAGATAATTAACTGGGGGAATTGCCAGTCCTGGCCACGTGCTCCTTCTGAGGCTGGCACAGGTGGACTGGACAATCCCTCGGTGCTGTCGGCCTCCAGCAAGCCCATGCCTGCCTGTGACCCTGGGCTTCTGGTGGACCCAGCCCAGTCTTACTTGGCTCCAGGGTGGCTGGCCTGGGCTGGCTCTGTCCCCATCTTGGCTGGAACCACCAACCCCGTGGCCTTCCTGAGATCCCTGTCAGCCCCTGGTTTCTCTGGGTTTGCCCAATACCCTGGTCAAGAAAGAGGGAAGGTGCTGAGCTCAGAATTTCTAACGTTCTGCCAGAAGCCTAGAACCTGAAGAAAAACAGCCTCCACCAAAGTGACAAACTCAGTGCTTTCAACCTGTTTGAGAGGGAGAAACAGGGCTCACCCACGAAGATGTAAAAAAACAACTGCACCTTAGAAAATGCAACATCCTCATGGTTGCACAGAGGCCCCCACCCCAGGGACATGTCCAAGGAGATCTGAGACCAGAGGGGTGTCTGCTCAGTACCTGCACCCATGGCACCCACCCACTTACCTGTGCGACAGAGTGGGTTTCATGGAGCTCATGGAGCTGAGAGGGGGCTGCATGGGGAGTTTCCCAGGGGGATCGCTCTGGCGGCTCTTCTGATGTCGGAGCAGCAGCAGGCGGCCGAGCTCTTCGCACCAGGAGGACAACAAGGCTGCAGGAAGGACAGGACAGTCAGTGGGTGCTTGTTCATCATGCTCTGCCACACCAAGACCCCCCCCCAACTCTCCCCAGACTGGGTGCTATCCATGCTGGTTTTGCTCCCAGATTCGTGTGACGCCAGAAGACTTACTCAGCCCTCTTGGGAGGCCTCAGTATTCTCAACTGTAAGATGGGACTGACACCCTTGAAGGAGGATACAAAAGTTTCTGTCATGAAGAGGGGGTCAGAATGGCCCGCGTGCAGGAAGTAGTGGTCCGTGGAGGCAAAGAGGGGGAGAGTCAGGATGATGGGAAGGGTGGCAGAGATGGTGCCAAGTGGAAACTGGAGGAGTGAGGGGGCCTGACACAGACCTTGAGTCAGGGCAAGCTTAGCAGCTGCCCACCACCCCAGATCCCCCTCAGGGAAGCTCACTCCCTCACACTTCGATCAGAGGCAAAGCGTGGCTTCTCCCCATGGGTGGGCTCAAACATCACAAGGTTTGAACAAAATCTTGGAATCTGCTGACAACCTAGGAGTGTCTGCAGGGCTGTCCCTGAAACTCCTGCCCAGAAACTGGCCCCCTAGCACACACCTTCTGGTCACACCCACGGTTGGTCCCTGCTCTGCTGGGCACAAATGCCTAGGAAGACAAAGGATGTCCAGAGCAGAGGGTGGCCAGGGTGGTGGGGGGCCAAGCAGGAGGCAGCCAGGGGTGCCCAAGGCAGGAGCACAGAGCAGCCATCCACATCCGGGATAAGAGAGCCCCACATGAACTGGGGACTGGGGAAAACTTCCATTTTCTTTCACTGTTCACTGTCCCCACGTGGCCACAGGAGCCAAAAGCGCCTCCCAGGCCAGCGTGTCTCAGCCTGGGCTGTCCATCGTGTCTCAGCTGGCCTGTCCTCCTGAAGTACATGAGGACGCTGAGGGCTGGGGAACTGGCTGCGCTCAGTCACCATCTTGCTGTTTGACTTCAGGAGCCCACAGACTCTCTGGGCCTCAGTTTGCTTAGAGGTAAAAAGGAGTAATGCCTCGTGTCCTGCCTTCCTCCCAGGCTGCAGGGAGGGACGGATGGGGGCCTGCTGGGTCTGTGGAATGCTGGACAAAGGGTGGCCACACCTCAGCTGATGTCCTACTCCTGCTGGGAGTGACCTGAGCGTTATGGAAGTAGTCGATGGGCAAGAGTGGCCAGGCATATTTTGAATCATAACTGCTCAGCCACTTGGCTGGGTGCAAAGCCGACTCCACATTTCAAGGGTCTCCCATCTGGATGCTGCACAACGTGCTTCTGCATCCTTTTTTTTTCTTGACCATCTAGGACATCATTAGCTATTATTATCCTCATTCTACAGATGAGTAGACGGGGGCCCAGTCAGGCAAAGCTACTCACAGTAACCACAGCCAGAGTCAGCAGGGACAGAGACAGTGCTCCTGCTCCTGGCCCCATGCCCTGGTGGTAGAGCCTGAGGCTGGACCAGAAGGTGGGGAGGAGGTGAAAGCCTTCAGAAGGCAAAATCCTAGGTGTTCACAGCTCCCCAGCCCCTCTGACTCAATAAGGAACCCCTCAGGCCTCTTGTACGCCACCACGTTTGGCCGGCACTGGTGGAAGACACCCATAGGCACAGTGACCGGGAGTGGCTGGGCAGGCTGCCATCCCAAGCCGCCCAGATCCTGGACGGGGTTCCCGTCAGCCCAAAGCCCCGAGAAGTCGCCAGAGCTGCTTGCTCCATCTGCTCAGCTTGTGTGGTACACAAAGATGCCCAACCAAGAAGGCAAGCAGGGGCTGTGGTCCCCAAGAGGGGCCCTGTTTCTCCCTCCAGGAGGGGGCCTGGTGGATGAGCTAAGTCTTAAAAGATGTGTCCTGCCCCCCTCCGTGGGGTCACCTTGCCACCACCCTCAAAAGGAGGACAGTATGAGAGAAGAGACACTCTCCTCTGTCATGTGTGTCTGCACAGAAACCAACAAACACCCCTATGTGGGTGTCCAGCACACATGTGCTACAGCTGGAAAGGCAGCCTATTCGGGCAGGCCAGGACACACAAAAACGAGCCTCCAGCCCACTCCATCCTTCTCCCAGGCCCCTAGGTACCGCCTCTTGTGCGGGGGCACTGGGCATCTGGAAACTCATTTGCACGCCAAGCACGAGGCCCGCTGGATCGCAGTGACGGAGGGATCACTCCACTGCCAGCACAAAGGACGGCCACAGATGGTGCCGCCTGCTGCCCGCCCCACCCCTCGCAGCCCTCGCTCCTCCTGGGGGCTGGCCTGCCATGCAGGGGGCGGAGGCACCACAGGGGAATCAGGGCTTTCCTCCAATGTCACGGGCCACCCCCTGCTCAGCCAAGGACAGCCCTTGTCCTCCTGCCCCTAGTGGAGTGGTTTCCATAAAGGGAATAAAGGCAGGCTGGCTGCGTGACAGGGCCTTGCTGTACAGTCTGGCATGCCGCAAACAGGCGTGATATGTGGATCAGCCAGCCACAAAGGCCACTTTCTTACAACCAAGAGGTGGTGGGGGGATGGGGAGTCACCACCCCTCACCCCCGAGGCCGGTGAGCACAGAGGCCACGCTGGCAGCCGCATGCGGGGCAGTGGATGTTGTGCGTGTTCTCCTTATGGTGCAAACCAACACAAGTTGTTCTGAGGCAAACGTGGGTTAATGACAACACCCGGGAATTCGCAGCCAAAAAGAGAGTCTGGGCACTGTCGAGAGAACCAGGAGGGCTGACAGGGACAGACAGAGGCAGGCAGGGGATTACGCAAGGACAGACAGAGTGACACCAGCTGGGCGGGTGTCTGGGTGCGCCTGGCCAGTCACTCACACATCTGGACTGGGAAGTCTGTCTGCTCTAATTAGGCGGGGCTGGCCTGCATGCTTCTTTGACCTGCGTGCCTTTGGTCTGTGCACTTGCTAGAATGGCAAAAACAGTCCCAGGGTGAGTGGGAGAGACGGGAGGACCTGGTGTGGTGTGCGCAGAGCATACCAGGCAATGGGAGGGCAGTGTCAGTCCTGACCTGAGCCCCTCTGTGCTGCAGGCAGGGTCAAGAGTGCCTTCTACTGCCTAAGCAACCAACATGGCCAGCCTGTCCCTTGTCCTGTGGGCCCCACTTACCAGTGGTTAAGAGAGCTGGCCCCAAAGGCCCCTTTTTACACAGAGGTCCCCAATTTTCAAATTAAAATGGCAGCTAGGACCCAATGTCCCTTTCCCCCTTCATAAAATGCAGCTCGCTTGGGCCCAGGACAGCCTTGGCCAGTACATGTGACTGCCTCTCTCCCACAGACGGGTGACGATTGGCCTCCTGCCTGGTGCTCCCACGGCGGGAGGCCCACGTACACATCACTTGCACAGCTGTCAATGAATGCCATTAGACCCACGGCCACCCTCCAAGGGGCTAAGCAATTGGCAGTGAGATACTCCAAAGCCTGCCAAGGGGCGTGGAGAGGAATTGTAGCTCCACCCTGCAAACTTTTTGGGCCCCTTCCAATCTGGGGTGTCAACATGGGGAGGCCTTCTGCCTGTCAGAAACCAAGAAGCAGGGGCTGGGCGTGATGGCTCACACCTGTAATCACAGCAGTTTGGGAGGCTGAGGCGGGCAGATCACTTGAGGTCAGGAGTTCGAGACTAACCTTGCCAATATAATGAAATGCTGTCTCTACTAAAAATACAAAAATTAGCCAGGTGTGGTAGCCAGCGCCTCTAATCTCAGCTACTCGGGAGGCTGAGCAGAATTGCTTGACCTCGGGAGGTGGAGGCTGCAGTGATCTGAGATCGCGTCACTGCCCTCCAGCCTGGGCAACACAGCAAGACTCCATTCCCCTCCAAAAAGGAAAGAAAGAAAGAAAGAAAAAAGAAACCAAGAAGCAGGAGGGGCTGTTGGGAGCAGAGGTTCAGCCACAGAAAGGGGGTTAGGGTCAGGAGGGGGCCTGCAGAGCTGGCCACAGAGGCCCATGGGACCACCCCCCGTCAGCCAAGCTGACAGTACAGCTATGGCAGTACCCACTGCCCCCTCTCCTCCAGCAAGATCTCTGATGGGTAACAGCCTTCTTTGGGGGAGGAGAAATAGAGGCACAACCACCTGCAAATGCACTGCTTCTGACCCCTAAACAAATCCCCTCTCCCCCATCACCCAAGGCACCAGGTTCTTATCAAGCAGGTGCTGAGCTGGGTACAGGCACCCCAGAAACTGGGCTCTCAGGCTCCTCACCAAGCCCCATCCCCTGTCATCCTCTCCAGCCTGTCCAGGGGCTGGTGCCGAGGACCTTGGGGCCTTCCAGCTCACCTCATGGTGACCACAGCTGGGGCTGGGACAGCAGCAGGGAATCATCCCAGACTCGAACTGCCAATGCTGAGCCTTAATCCAGACTTCCAAGCACTCCTCAAATGTCTCAGCGTAAAACGTAAAAGCACGCACCACCCAACTCGTCTAAAGTGAACCCACTGAGCTCCCCTCACCTCTCCAAACTGCATCCTTGTGACCAGACTCCCTCACCTCGATCCATTCTAACCTACAGTACCAAGGTGTTCTATCACTCACCCAACGTTCATTCAACAACTGGCTGCTGAGCACCTTGTGTGTTCTGGAGGTACTGCGGTGAAGCAGGCGAGGCTAGCACTCCTGCTGAAACCGCACATGGCCCCCACTGCTGAGTCCAAACCACTTAAGATGACGTGCAAAGCTCCGCAGGCTGGGAGGACGCCTTGGCGCTCATCTCTCCTGACCTCAGCTGGCAGCTACAACCCTGTGGTTCAGGGTAAGGGACTCCGAAAGTCTGGATTCGATTCGAAACCTCATTCCCTTCACACCTACGTGACCTTAGGCAAACAGTACAATCTCTCTGGGCTTCGGTTTATCTGCCAAATGTTAATGCTTACTCTTTAGGGTTATTGTGCTATTTTTTTTCTTTTTTTTTTGAGACAGTCTTGTTCTGTCACCCAGGCTGGAGTGCAGTGGTGCGATCTTGGCTCACTGCAACATCTGCCTCCCGGATTCAAGCGATTCTTGTGCCTCAGCATCCCGAGTAGCTGGGACTACAGTTGTGCACCATCACGCCTGGCTAATTTTGTGTGTGTGTATATATATATATTTTTGGTAGAGATGGAGTTTTGCCATGTTGGCCAGGCTGGTTTCGAACTCCTGGCTTCAAGTGATCCACCCACCTCGGCCTCCCAAAGTACTTGGATTACAGGCATAAGCCACTGAGCCCAGCCTTACTGTGCTATCGAATGACACTAACACCTACAAAGTGTTTAAAAGTGTCTGGCATGTAGTTAGCACGAAGAGCCTCTCAGCGCCGTGTGTGCTCTGCTTGTAGCAGGCAAGAAAGAGCCTTCCAGACAGAAGGTGGTCTCTTATTCGTAAGCCCCCTCTGCCCAGCAGGCTCCAGGCCCACCTCTCTATGCGCCAGCCCCACAAGACACCCTGCAATTTCATGCCTCTTTCCTTATAGAACTTGCACTTCTTTAAGGCTCATCTCTAATGGTGCTTCCTCCAGTTTCCCATCTATAAAATGGGTTTAACAGGAGCTGCCTGCTTCACTGGATATGGGGTGTAAATTAGTGTTGCAAGCCAACCCCTGTGATATCCAAGTAGAAGCCAGCAAGTGTGCAGGGTGGGCGGAGGGCCAAGGACCCTCACCAATCCCTGCAACCCCATATCCAACTCCGCATCCCAGAACACTGTGAAGGCTGCTGAGGCATAGCCTGAAACCAACACCCAAGACCTGATCCCAGTTGTCTGTTACTGTGTGACACCTTGAGCAAGTGACTTAACCTTCCTGCACCCCAGTTTCCTCATCTCCTAGGGTAGCCATATGGATGGGACCGCGTTACCTCCATGAAGCCCAGGGGAGCCAGGCACACAAATCCCTGCATATGCTCATTACACCACGATTGGTGTTTCTGCCTCGCTCAGTAGAGAAGAGAACAACAGGATGGTCCTGGGACTTTGCATCTCTGCTTCTGATCACATAGCAGAGGGTGAGACAAAGGGCCTGGGCAGGCACGAAGCTCCAGAAGTTCATGGAGATGGTGGGGGCCCTGAGTAGATGAGCAGGCCTGTGTGCTCATCTGGCACACATGTTGCACAGGGCCCCTTCCCCCTGCCTCCTTCTGAGCCGCCTAGGGGTAGAATGAGGACATCGAGTGTCCTGCTCTGAGATGCAGGAAGCAAAAATCAATTCCCCATTTGGAGGCAGCTGTGCCTCTGCTTCAGCTGGTGGCAAGGCGCCGGTGGCCCTGGAGGGAAGGCATTACTTCTTCTTTCCCTAGGACACCCCATGGGACTCCCACAGCAACCCCTCAATAGTGGCCATCTTTTGTGGGGGTAGTGGGGACAGTTCCCCAGGATCCAGAACAGCCCAAGACCCAGACCCAGCCTCTCCCATGACCCCCTCTAGGGCCCTGGCTTTTAGTAGATAAGATCCAGATAGTCACTGCCACATCCGCAGGGAAGCAGCAGCCCTGAGGGGCCAGCAGAAGGGAGAGTTGACCTCAGCAGAAGCGACAGTTGACCTCATGCTCCTGTTGCCTATGCTAGTCTTTGTAGCGTCTCCAGGAAGCCACGGGGACACCAGGGTTCCCACTCCACACCAGCCGTGACTTAACCAAGATCACTGACAAGCAACACGTGTCCTCCAGTGGCGCTGTGCCATAGTATGATCGGCGGCGCATTCTTCCTTCTTAGTGGCATGTGAAATAGTGGTGTGTGCGACCAGGGCTGGTATCTTCTATAAATGGGACCCAGTGGATATGTCTAAGGGCCCTGCACCAGCTGCACCCAAGGATGCTATGGCGAAGGCAGCACCAACACTAGCCAGTGACCCTGTGGTCACTCATCTAAAACAGAAAAGGGAGTGAACAAGCACTGGCTCTGAGGATCAGAAGGGGACCAGGCAGGAAGGCACCGAGGAAGAGCCAGCTTCCCAACATCTGCTTCCCCAAGACCTTTCCAGCAACTCCCCTGTAGCCAGCAGCCCCCATACTGTCTGTCCGTTAGGGGGAAAAAATGAAACCAGATGTCGGGTGAGGCAGGCCTGAGTGAGGATGCCGGGGCAGCTGGTCCTGGCTTGCTCAGGCGTGCCCTCCCCAGGGGCAGTGACAGGCCCTGTATTTGCCCCTGTACCTGTAGCTCCTAGCAGCACAGACGCCCAGGACTGGCTGACCAAATGAGGAGGTGAGAGGCAGAGGAGTGCAGCCCTAGTTCAGGAATCGCCTGAGTGCCAGGTGAGGAGGGTGGATCTACATGTACTGTTCAGACAGGCCGAGTGACCAGCCTTTGTTAGCATCGATCGGGTCGGGTGTCACGGGGAGCAGGTACGCTCACCTGGGCACCTGGGAAAGGCTTCCTCGCCAGGCTGCACTTGGCTTGAAAAGGAGCAAGAAAGCAGAGGCAGCCACAGCAGCCATAGGGAAAGAGGCGCTCCTGATGGAGCCAGGCAAGGGGAGGTGCGGACAGTGAGAAGCCTGGGATGCTTGCTCCTGGTAAGATCTGGCGGTCAGGAATGGATGACAGCAGCAGTGGGGTGCAGGGGGAGGCTGGGAGGGATGAAAGGCCATCTGGAGAAGGGAACAGAAGCCTGGATGTATGGCTGGGCGGGAGAGTCATCGAACACACTGCAGCCTGGGGAAGCCACACGCAAAATGAAACAAAGGCCTAAGTATCAAAGAGCATCTTAGCAGCTAAAAGGCTGCTGGAGAACAGAGAAAGTGTGTGTGTGTGTGTGTGTGTGTGTGTGTGTGTTGGGGGGAGGTGTTGGGAGGGGTGCTTCTGAGACCCAGGAGACCCCCAGGGATGGGGCAGCACTCAGAGGGGCCCAGGAAGAGGCCTGCGAAGCAATGGCAGCAGCATCTTGAAGCAGGGCCCTCTCATCCTCAAACCATGCCCTGGCAGGTGGCAAGTGGGATTCATGATTCCAATAAAAATATGAATGATACATTTTCAGATGCTTCCATCCCATGAGCTTACAAAAGGCCACACAAGACCCTCTGAAGTAGCAGCAGCAGTGAGAGTGGCGCCACTCCGCAGCGGGGGAGACTGGGCATGGGAGCTGCAGGGGCTTGCCTGTTGAGTCAGGGGCAGGAGAGCCAGGCCCCCACACTGGTCCTCACACTCTCCCCTCTGACATGTCGCAAGTTCCTGCTCCCACATCCACTAGAATCCCAGGGAGCACCTCGAGCTGCCTCAGGAAGACGGGCCCCTCCCTGTCCCACCCGCTGGTCACCACATCCTGATGATCTTTGCAGTCTGTTCCCTTTGCTCCTTGCCTGCTCCAATCCAATCACCTTCTGCAGCCCTGCCGGTTCTCCTCTGAATTATGACAACAGCATCCTGTCATTCCTCTCCATCTCCAAACCTGCCTCCTGCCAACCTGCCCTCTGCAACGCGGTCAGAGGACTTCTTCCACCCATGCATTCTGATTACCTCTTTCCAATCTGTATCCCCAGAGGCTGCACAGGGCCTGGTAGATGGCAGTTGCTTGATGGATGCAGACACGAATCTTGGGCCACACTACCCAGGGGAATGCCATGGTGCTCCGTAGCGACAGCATGAGCCCCTGGGGCCACGATCGGATTTGGGGGCTTCACTTCTACAACCCTGGCACCCAGCACGGCGTTTAGCACATGCTATGCAGCCAACAGATGACTAACACACTGACATGAATCACAGCTAGAAATAACCCAATATGCTGAGACGACTGGGAAGGAAGGACAGACACTGAGACCCGGACAACTGGAGCAGCATCTGTGACCAGGCGCTCAGCGGCCTTTAAACCTACCAGCAGCTCCCCATTCCTGGGGGCAGGAAACCAGCTTCAGAAACAGGGTTCTGAAAGGAATCTCATCACGAATGTGTCCAGAGACTGGTGCTGTCCTCAAATAAAACCTACAACTGAGTCACATGACACATGTTTCATGACATGCACAGCCACCCCAGTCACGGGGAACAGGAGGCAAGCAGTTCACAGCAGCAACAGTTCATACAGCGTGGGGGCCAGCCACAGCCCTGGTCGTCCTCTGCTCAGGGGCCGGCGCTGCTGTTCATGTTAGTGAGATGTTCCCAGCATCTCACCCAGGGCTCCCTGGAGATAGTGCTGCTCCTTCTGCTCCTGGGCCCAGGCCGTGCTCCCCTACCCTCTGATCCTCCTCTTTCAGCTCCCAAACACAGGGTCCTGGGACCGGGGAAGCCTGGGAGTTCAAGGCAATGGGGTCTCCTGAATATCCCTGGGACCCCAAGTTCTATAGCCATGCACAGAAAAGAAGTGGTGGTGAGGGCTTGGGAGGGGCGGGAGAGTGCAGCAGACACAGGGGTTTGAGTCAACACGGGCCTGGACTCCTCATCAAATCTCTAAAATGGACAGACACTAAGAGGAACCTCTCCTGCTCACTGGCCTGGTGTGAGGAACCATGAGGTGAAGGAAGGGCCCCTTTGTCAACACAAGTGAGAGACGGCCCATCTCACACCAGAGTCCCACCTGGAAACCAAAAGCAGTAATATGCTGTCTCCTGCCTCCAGGAGGCAGAGTGACCAAGAACACAAGCTCTGGAGCCAGGCTGCCTGGGTTCAAATCCCAGCTCAGCCACGTAGCAGCTGTGTGATCTTGGGTAAGTTACTTTAGCTCTCTGTGCTTTGGTTTTCCCTTCTGCAAAATGGGGATAATAAGTAGCACCTACCACCTAAATTACCATGAGGATTAAGTAAGTTACTATACATAGAATGTTGGTACAATACCAGGCATGTAGAAAGCATTACATGGGAATAAACTGTTAGCAGTGTTGCTGTAGTATACATGTTCCCTTGGGATGCAGAGGGTGCTCCATTTCTCCACCTAAGTACTGTAGAAAATTGCTCAAATAAAATACAATTTCTTTCACCCATCTCCAAGAAAATCATGCAGATGCTCAGGAGTGCCCAGCCTCACACCACCCCTTCACACTGGGTGCTCCCTGGGGCAGACAGTGCCCCCTTCCCTACTGGACTGGGTGCTCCCCTAGCACCCAACTGTGCCCACATCCAGACACCCCAGGCCCTCACAGGGCCACCCCGACAGGCACTCATTTCTGACTCTGCTCTCAGGCCAAGCAGTGCCAGGAGGCTGGTCTAGGCAGACCCCTTCCTCCTCTGGAGTGTGTGGGTACAGGGGCTGGGGGGACTTTGCAGCTGTCCTCTCCACAATAGGAGGCCTGGGCGGTGGGCAGAGCCCAAGCCCCTCCTCAGCCCCATTCCACTGTGTCCAGAAGGAGGTGGGAGACGGGCAGGAACTAGGATTCCTACTCTGGCTGATTTACTCAAAGCAGGAATGAGTGGTCTGACTCATGAGCCCTGAGAACAGAACTAGCCGCAGAATTGTTACTCTGCCCGGCTGGAGGCTGGGGCTCTGGGGCTGGACTTCCTGCCTGTAGACCCGTCACTGCTGGGTGCCCCAGAAATAGGAAAAGGGGCCTCCTCCCTGCCAGCTCTCTTGGGTCATCTCCCAGGAGGAAATAGCACAGGAAGCACATGACCACAGAGACTCACAGTCCTCGGACCGGGGGCAGTGACTACTGGGCCCCAGGAGACCAGGGTTGGCTCTAGCGAGACCACCGCACCATCAGTGCAGCCTCAGGGCCATGTGTGTGCTTCTGTAAGATGGGGCACCCCTTCTGGCCCGACTCACCCTGCTGTGGATGAGGATCTAACCGGGCCGTGGGAGCACACAACCTTTTGGTTCTCCCAGCCGTGTGGTTCTTCCTACTTCATTCAAACCTCCCAAGACCCAATTAGGACCCTGCCAAGGATTACACTACCTGTATTTTACAAAAGGGAAATCCAGGCCCAAGAAGGGGTGATTCAAACAGTCACTCCACAGGACAACGGCCCCGCCCACTGCTGGTACGCGAAGGCCCCACTTTCATGCCCATAATTCTGTGACATCATGTCTGAGAGCAGGCATATCCCCAGGAGACAGCTCTGTGCCTCCTGCCTGCCTCCCACTCCTAAGACTTGGTGCCAACCCCAGCTTCTTGAACCTCCTGTGTGACTGTGGGCAACTTCCTCCCGTCTCTGGCCACATGTAAAAGACAGGGGGTGGGCACTGCTCTCTGAAGTCTGTGGCCCCCTGAATCAGCCCTGGCCTCCAAGTGGGGTCACGTTTCTCAGGGCGCAGGCCAGTCTTGACCTTGCATGACTTCTTCTCAATCTTGCAGGTGATATGGGGTGAGCTGTCTGTCTGCACACTTGGGGTGGACTGCCTCTCCACACCGCTAGCAGGGATTACAGATGGAAGGGGCTCCAGAGAGCTCACCCTGTTGGGCTGCTCCGTTGATCAAGGCCAAAGCCCAGAGAGTAGAGTGGATTCGCTGAGGTCAAACAGCCGATGCTTGCAGGACTCTGAGGGTGACAGGGTCCTAGGAGAGTGGATGGGTGGGGAGCACCCTGTGGTCTCAGCTGCTGGGGCTGCTGAGGGGCTAGGCCTTCTCCTTGGTTATAGAAAACATCACTTCTGGGGCATTGTGAGTTGGACTCTGGTGACCCTGACAGCTGACCCCTGGAACCTACATCAGAGAGGTTTTCCTTGGGGGAAAATCTCAGTCTCCGGCAGACTGATGGTATTGCTGCCTCAGCACCATCAGTAGCAAGCTGAACTGAGTTTCAGCTCCTCCTGAGTTTTCTAGATCATTCCCATGTTCTGCTCCCTGTACCTCTATCACCATCACTTGTGGGTAAGAAAGGCCAAAAAAAAAAAAAAAAAGAAAAGAAAAAAAAGGAGTTGTCTGCTGGCGCTTGGGCTGCGAGTGACCCTGTCCGTCTCTGCTGCCCCCACCCCCGGTCCCCACACAAGCTGAAGCCCTGTGCATAGGGAGGACTGGCTAGTTGGGTGGTGCAGGTGGCCTGGGATCTGCAAGCAGGCTCCCGGCCCAGCTCACCCTGCCCTACCTG
The DNA here is from genome assembly GCF_000001405.40 of Homo sapiens. Lineage (NCBI taxonomy): Eukaryota > Metazoa > Chordata > Mammalia > Primates > Hominidae > Homo > Homo sapiens. Next base: position 79,265,280 of record NC_000010.11, on the reverse strand, counting down.
CTTCCCTGTGCTGGGCAGGTCCTGCCTTCTCAGGTCCTGTGGTCCAGTCTGGCCTGAGAGAGGGCCTACAGCCTGTCCCTCCCTCTAGGAACACTCCTCGCACGCCCGCCCCCTCTCCCCAAGGGCTGCCCGGGTTGTCAGGAGCTGGGAACTGGGAGCCTCGAGGCGTGTGAACTCACCCTGGGAACTGAACTCCAGGGAACCTCAGAGCCGTCAGGGCTAGTTTTGTCAGTGCTGTTTCCCAAACCGGTTTGGCCATGCCTCACCCAGTGGAGGCTGGGCAGGATGCATGGACCCAGGATAAGACGCCAGACTAAAACCCCAGCCCAGAAAATTCCCTGCCACCTCACACTATCATCTCTAACTCAGGGGCCATCAAAGACATCCCAAAACAAGCTCAAGAGGGTGTTGTCCACAGAAAGGGAATGCCCCCCTTTCTTTTTGGGGGTACCCCAATAAATGCTTCTGCAAAGTGCCCCCTTAGTCCTACCATGCACTTTTAGCTGAGAACAGCTCACAGGAGCTGTCACCATGTACTGTGCCCTTGTGAGGGGCTGGCTCACATTTCCTCGTTCCTCAGACCCTCACAAGCCCCTCCGGAGGTGGGGTAGTCACAGGTCACAGCCCCTATCTTGGAGAAACTAGATACTGTGCCTCAGTGCACACCTGAGTATGTGGCAGGCCAGGGCCAAGGCTGGCCTCTGTCATCTTACCCTAGGGATAAAAATTTGCTGGCGGCAGGGCAATGGCGGAGGAGCTCTAGACCACCTCAGTAGGAAATTAGGTAGCACTAATAGCAAAGCAAGCGTGCTGGAGAGGGGAGAGGTGCCCTGAGAAGGGGATGGGTGGTTACAGTCCCTGCATTCAGGGCCCCAGCAATGGGCCTCAGTCCTCCCTCCCCCAGCAATAGATTGAGGCCAAGAGGTACCCAAGAATGCACCAGTGTCCGTGGTGAGGCGTGAGTGCCAAATGCCTCTCGACCTCCATTTTGCTCCAAGGACCTCTGGGCAGGAGAGAGGCAAGCTCAAGAGGCAAGGTGACAAGGTCAGCCTGCGCAGGGAGGTGAGGAGGCAGTCCCCAGGCTGGCCTGGGTCAACAGTCCCACTCCATCTGCAAGGTGAGAACTGAGCCACACCCGCATGCCCAGGAACCACGGAGCCTGCACTCCAGCTCTCATTCCAGCAGGAGCCACCCTGAGCGCCTGCTTTCCATTCCGCATGTAATTTTTCCTCGGGGCTAAACATCACTGCCCGTTGCTGGCTCTCAGGGAGATGGAAGGGTAAGGAGGGGTTATGTGAATCAATTTCTTCCCTGCATAATTTACTTTTCTGAGGAGGTCCCCTCCTTACCCTTCCCAGGTGGGTGTAGGCAGTTTAGCTGTGTCCTCTCCCACCCAGCATAAGAAGAAGTGGTTGGAGTGAGGCTGGGCCTTCCCTAGGGTCAAAAAGACCCTGGGGTCTACACATCATGGCTGTCCGGACTTCACAGACGGCAAGAGACCATGTGTTTGAGCACCGAGAGACCTTGTCATGTACTCCCTTGATTTGATTTGACCTCAACCCTTAGTGTCCAATTCCAAGCCCTTGGTTTTTCCTGCCAGTGACAACCCCCAGGACCTCTCAAGTGGCTTCATTCCACCCAGCCTGGGCTCATGAATCCAGAGTATGGGCTCTGTCCTGGGGGCCCGGTGCTGACACTAAGCCTTGGGGAGGTGGTGAGCCTAGGGCATCACTGTTTATTACAAAGAAAACACCCACAAATCTTCCCAAACCTGAAGAGTGACTCAGGAGACCTGTGCCGTGGTAACAAGGGGCAGGAGAGGAACTGAGATGGGCTGCGCTTTGCTGGGTGACTCTGCTGACCAGACTCTACCATCTCACCTCCAACCATTTGCACCCCCGACTCCACCCCACCCTTCCCTGCTTACAGTGCCTGACTGACTTGGTTAATTGCCAAGACTCTCAGGTTCCTGATGCAAGAAACTCAGAAGGCTATTCGTTCCTCTAACTCTGAGCTAGTGCACCTGAGGTCTAAACCCTGCAAAGACCGAAGCCACGAGGTCAGGCTCCACGCCAGCTGTGACCACTCTGGAAACACGTGTTGTAAGCTCAGGAGCGCATGGCACCATCTCTGTCACTGCGCCACTGCGCTGGCGCATGCAGTGGTACTTACGCGCTCCCTTCTGACCCTGTGCTATGGGAGATGACAACCTTCAGATGGGTTCTCGACCCAAAACCTGTTGTAGGGTTTTCCCTCTTATCCATTCATCCAGCAGAAGCAGCTGACGGCTGGCACATTTCATGTTTCTACGTCTTGACTTCCTAATCGGTCGTTCCATTCCTTTTCCGAGAAACCCAGAGTATGGAGGCTTGACAGCCCTGGAAATCACATATGCCTGGCTGTTATTAAACCTCTCCAAGTCCCCAGCAGATTGCCCAGTGGATGCCCACTGGCTGCCCAAACACCAGACTGGTCTCCATTCATTGCTCTGGGCCCTCCTTCCCAGCTGCAGGGGTCCCTGTGCATTCTGGAGAATACATGTCACTCTTTTAGCATGCTAGCTACCGGTTTTAGTCGTGCACAAGCACACGCCGTTCAAGACAACCTGAGATAGGGACTGAATTTATAGAACACTGAGGGGAGGGAGGAAATGAGAGAATTTCTCTTTTTGTAGAAGATTCTTTACCTGATGAAATGGTTCTCTGTGAGGTTTCTTTAAATATCCAGTTGCCTTGTTGCAATGAAAATCAAAATGGTTTATAAGAATGCCATTTACATCTGGTGCTTCCTGGCTGCACCTGTTACTCAGTGTAACACACTTGGGGTGATGTCTGGATGGTGCGGTCCCAGAGCAGGGCTGAATGATTCACTGCAGCCTGGATCTCCAGGCCAGGGATTCTCAATCTTGCCCATGCATTAGAATAATCTGGAAGGCTTGTTAAAACACATGCATGTTGGGCTCCACCCCCAGTGGGGTTTCTGATTCAGTGGGTCTGGGGTGGAGCCAACGAATACATTTCTAGCCAGGTCTCAGGTGCTGCTGATGCTGCTGACCTGGGGACCCCACTTTGAGAACCACTGCTCGAGACCAAGGGATGAGCTCAGTGCCTGCAAGATGCAGGTGCTCTGTTACTCCATGAACAAGATGAGGGGGGAAACATTCTTTTCTCTCCCCTTCTGGGTTCAGGACATAAGCAAGTTCTTAGGGCCAGCAGAAGCATGTGCTTGGCAAACGTTCGCTGATACTGCTGTGGACCTCCCCTGACCTTTGCATTCAAAGCTCTGGAGATTTGACCCTGAGCTCTCTCTCCCTGGCCTATGAGACAGGAGAAAGGACTCTTACAAGGGTGTCAGGCACATGGAGCCCTGGCTTTATCTACTAGTTATGAACTATGTGATCTTGGCAGGCGTGTGCACCTTGGTTTCTTTGCCTGCATGCAAACCTATCTCACCTCGGTGCTCTAAAGGTGTAACAAGGTAACCTTGACAGTGGCTATGGATGGAGAACTTGATTCAGACCAGGCACTGTTCTGAGCACTTTGCATGTGTGGTCTAATTAAAGCTTCTACTCTGAGAGGGCATTGTTGTCCCCTGCCCGGCATCTCTCAGCAACACCACTTGCTGGTGTCCCTCAGCCCTCTGCCTTGGAGCCTGCTTCACAGAGTGGCTGTAAGAACTGAACTAGGTCCTGCAGGCTCCGCCTCACTGCCGGCTCTAGGAAGCAGCCCCAGGTAGGCGAGGGACAGACAGCAGCCTGGGCCATCTGCAGTTCAGGCCAGGCTCCCTGTTTCTCTTCCAGAGCAGCTGGGGGAGGGAGCCGTCATTTGTTTAGGCCTCTGCAGTGTTTAATCAGCACGCAGCTCTCTCCCTCCTCCCCCTCCAGCGCCTGCTCTCTCCCTGCAGAAAACAGCTCTCTGCCTTCTGCCTCTGATGGAGGCCATGAAAAATTAACACGGAATGTAGGGAGAGGGAAGGGAACACCGGGTAGGGAGGGGCATTGGAGCTGGGTGACCAGCTGGCCTGAGCTGAGCGCGCACCAGTTGGGCAAGCACGAACTGGATGGGCCTCTGAGGGGCCGGCCGGGTCAAAAACCCGACCACCCGGCGGGGCCACAGGGTCTTTCATGACGCTCAGCCTGGGGGTCTGGAGCACATCCAACTACCCTTGGGGGAGCCGGAGTGCAGAGTCTGGGCCTTTCTGGGGTCTCGAACCCCTGGAGAATCTGAAGACAGGGATACAGTCTCTCTCTGCCCTGAAGAGAGCCAGGTCATGCAGGGACGTGTCCTCGGGAAGGTCAGCTGCAGGCTAGGCAGAAATGAGACACGCCTCCTTTCTCTGTTCATTTTCCTGACAATCCTGTGGAGACAACTACCCTGATTTGATAGGAGGAAACTAGTGTTCAGAGAGGTTAAGAAAACCTGCCCAAGGACAACCAGCGAAAACAGCAGAGTGGGATCTATTTAGTTTTAATTAATACAATTACTTTTCATTTACATAAGTACTACACAAATCCATTCTCCTTATAAAGCTAATGTTTCCCCAGCCTCCAAACCCAGTTTCCCCATCACATCCGATGATTCCACCTCACCGTTCCATTTCTTCACTTTGAAATGCTATTTTGAAGAAGTAATTAGAAATATACAGAAGCCGAATAAAAGGCGTGCATTGAAAAACAGTCTCCTTGACGCCTCCCTGTTGCCATTCCTTCCAAAGGGGAACCACTGCTGGTGGCTTTGGGTTTTTCCTTCCAGGGTTATTCTATCCTTGGCACCTACCAGAGACTTTGCCACCTCTGCCTGGAAGGTTCTCGTCCTGGACAGCCACGTGATTCACTCACCCCCTCATCCTCATGCAGCCAGAGTTTCCCTGACCTGACCGTTTATGAATTGTCGTACCTCCCCACCACCGACTCCCTCTATTTTCCTCCCCTGCCTCATTGTTCTTCAGAGCACCTATCACCACCTGCTTTTAAAGTCCTGATTCCCCTCCCTCCATGCTGGAACAAAAGCTCTACCAGGGCTAGGGTTCCCATGTGCTACATTCGCCAGCACATCCCCAGTGCCTAGAACAATACCTGGCACACAGGTGACAATTAACACTGATGGAAGGCAGGGCACTGCAGGTACACAAAGCCTGGCAGAGTATGCATGCTGTTTTGAACTCAAACTCACTGTCACGCCTGTGCCTCTTTCATCTTTTGTCTCTTGCTAGGACACAGCCTAGTCTGGGGCACACAGCAGACGCTCAGAGCTCAGAATGACCAGACCGGAAACGTGACCCTTACCTCACACCACAGACCAACAAAAAGTCGAGGGGAGTGGAGAGAGGGGGAGCAAAACAACATACTGTCTAGAAGGTGACAGAGGAAAGGCTGGGCGCGGTGGCTTACACCTGTAATCCCAGCACTTTTGGAGGCCAAGGCAGGCAGATCACTTGAGGTCAGGACTTTGAGACCAGCTTGGCCAACATGGTGAAACCCTGTCTCTACTAAAAATACAAAATTAGCAGGGCGTGGTGTGAGCCTGTAATCCCAGCTACTGGGGAGGCTGAGGCAGGAGAATCACTTGAACCTGGGAGGCAGAAGTTGCAGTGAGCTGAGATTGCACCACTGCACTCCAGCCTGGGCAACTGAGTGAGACACCACCTCAAAAAAAAAAAAAAAAGAAGGTGATAGAGAATATCTTCATGATCTGGGGTTTGGGGAAATTCTCAAGAAACACAAGCACTAAGCATTAGGGAAACTTGATAAATTTTCCTATGGAAGAATGTCCTGCATCCCAAAATACCCCATTAATGGAGTGAGAAGCACAGGGTGAGGGTGAGTCTGCATGGAACAGAAGAAGCCACACGGTGCACGATGAAGCCCTGTTGAAGGGTTCTGGGGAGTTGGGCTCCTCAAGACTGTGCAGCGACCCAGGAAGGCTTCTCAGGAGAGGCAGAAGGTGACTCCCTCCCACTCCTCCCCTAGGTCTGGCCTCCTCTCTCTTCTCCTCCATGAAAAACCAGAGGCTTTAAGACAGACAGGAGAGCTCCAGCCCCCCCTTCCCTGCCCCACGCAGAGATAACCAAGCAAGAAAAAACAAATTAAACAGTCCAGGAGCCGGGCAGGGCCTTGGGAAGTTTGGCTCGACAGGGCAACAACATTTAACAAAGCTCACATCATCCATCACTTGGGCCCAGTCATTTAGATACTGGGCATTTGATTAAACTAATACGGGCGGCTGGGGCGAGGCATGGCTGGGCGCTTCCTCCCCTCGCCTACAAATTAGACCGTCACACACAATCCGATTACCTTGACTGCCACATTTATCTTGGGAGAGGGGCCATCCATCACTCCTCAGCAGCTGGCTCTGCCCTCCCCACATTAGTTCTATCAGGAGGGGAGTGAGTTCGCCCCAAAGTTTCAGCAGACCATGTTCAGTCAGTCATTCCTTCCATCACCCACTCCAGATACTCACCCCAAAGTGCCTGCCCTGGGGCAGGCCTTGGGCTCAGCATCAGGATGCAGAGAAAACAGTCCATGGCCTTCAGACTCATGGAAGGCTCATGAAAGGGGAGCTATCTGGGCTGGGCTTGGAGAGCCTAGAATGTTGGTGCTGAAAGCTATGTTGCACTGATGGGCACAGGTTTATGTCCCACTTTGCCTCATCCAACTGAGACCCTACGCATGACAATCACCAACCATCCTCAACTTCACACCTATGAAATGGGATAACACAGTACACTGCTGGCCAACAGAATTTCTGCAGTATTGGAAATGTTGATTTGTGCTGCCCGAAACAGGAGGCAGGGGCCACATGTGCTACTGCACATGTGTGGCCAGTGCAACTGAGGAGTTGAGTTTAAATTCCATTTAACTATTTTCTTTTCTTCTTCTTCTTCTTTTTTTTTCTTTTAAGACAGGATTTGGCTCTATCCACCCAGGCTGGAGTGCAGTGCTGCAAACATGGTTCACTGCAGCCTCGACCTCCTGGGCTCAAGCTATCCCACTGTCTCAGCTTCCTGAGTAGCTGGGACTACAGGCGTGCATAACCACCCCTGGCTAATTTGTTTTGATTCTTAGTAGAGATGAGTCCTCGCCATGTTGCCCAAGCTGATCTCGAACTCTTGGGCTCAGGCAATCCTCCTGTCTCAGCCTCCCAAAGTGCTGGGATTTCAGGCATGAGCCACCGTGCCCGGCCCATTTAACTTCATTTCATTAAATTTAAGCTCCAATTAGCACATGGGGATACTGGCTCCCACGCTGGGCTCTGCAAATCCAGTTTCTGACTACCTTCTTGGGGTTGCTGTGAAGAGTAAGCAGGCCATCCTTAAAATGCCCAGGACAAAGCCTGGCACATGACAAATGCTCAACAAAAGCGAGGTCCCTTCCCTCTGGGTTCTGAGACCAAGGATGTAGGGCTATTGTCTGAAGAGCCCTGGACTCAACAGCAATCACCTTTGTGGTCTCATAATACAGCTCAGAGTTAAAGACGGTGCAAACCATAAAGTGGCAGGGATAGAACCTGAGTCCAGGTCTCTGTGGCTTGGAACCCCGTCTTTCCACTGGACACCTGGCTCCCCAGGAGATAGACAGCAAGAGCAAAGGCTCCAGGATGGGGCCTGGGGAGGGCAGGTCTGCCTGGCAGGCAAAGACCAGCAGCTTCTTCCCTGAACATCACCATGGTCTGTGAGGCCTGGCTTCTCTTCCAGATCAGTCACCTCCCAATGCTAGCACCTCCCAATGCCAGGCACAGGGTCACCCCAAAGCCTGACCCACCCCAGCTCTGCAGGCCAAGCCCAGGGCAACACCGATGTTCCCCTGACTCAGGGTAGAGCTGGGGCAGCCAACAGAGTTTCTGGTTCCAGATACACCAACTCTAGATGGTGCCCAGTCCTAAAGCTTTTGCAGAGCAACCAGGACAGCACAACTGAGGCCCTCAGTGGCACCAGGTGCAAAAGACCTCAGGGTCATCCGGCTTCTCCTGCCTTCCAGGGTGTATTAGCAGAGGCTCAGAGGCTGGCAGACAGGGGGCAGACCAGCTGCTGTCACCAGGAATCTGAGGGCTCTGGGGTCCCCACAGTGGTCCTCAGTCCCCTCACTAGGGACCCACCCATCCTCTTACAGGGCTGCAATGGGATGAGCGGAGTTGACATGTGAATAAACAGGTGAGGACGGAGCATGTGCTCACTCGGGCTTGCTTAATTATTGGTGTTGTCTGAGGTCTCAAGGCAGGTCAGCGACAAGGTGAGACCCCAGTCTGTCTCATGTGGGTCTGGGGAGGCTGTAGACAGCATCTAGGAAGAAGCACTCACATAGAAGCCTGAAGACGTCACTTTTCACTGATGGGCTGTGTCACCTGGAGCAAGCCATGTCACCCCTCAGGTCTCCCCACCTCTTTTTTATTTTCTTAATGGAAAAACTAGAGCAAAATCACAAGCATGCACAAACCTTTCTGTGAGGATCAGATGGGGCATGCCAAAGCACTTATGACCTGGATATGGATGCCTGTGAGGGGATCTGACTGTGTCAGTGGGTGGGCAGGCTTTCCTGGTAACTTCAGAGCAGCCTGACCCTGGAGAGAAATCACCTCCCAGAGCAAGACATGCCCCCTGTGGAAACAGCTGGAGCTTAAGAGTCCAGTCTTCAGACACTCAGAGGGGTCCTGCTGGCAGGGCATTTCTTGTGAAACCACAGGCTGGAAAGGAGCAGACCCACCTGTGATCCCCTCAGCATGTGCTGCAGGGGCACCGGCAGGCTCCCTCCCTGGAGTGGCCGCCCTAGCCCACCTGGCTTGGACTGTGGCCTCCAGCTGGTCTGGAAGGCTGGGAAGGATGCAGGGCACACACTGCAGCTGCAGGAGGGAGGGGGCTGCTCTGGATGGGATGTGGGAGATGCTGGCCAGAGTCCACCGAGGGCTGGGAGATAGTGGGGAAGGCTACTGTGGGGTGGGTGCCAGGCCAGGAGCATAGAGGGATGGGGTGACATGGAAGAGCCACAGGTGAGATGGGAATGGAGAAAGGGGGATATTGGGGAGCTGAGGAGGCCCCCCAGAATTCCCTCCATCAGATTCACCCCTCTGCCGGCCAAGTTCGAAGGCACACTTAGCCACTCACACATTAGTATAAATGAGTTTATGACAAGCTGTGCCAAGACGGGCAGGGAGCAGTAATTGAAGGGAAAATCATGGGGAGGAAGGTGGCAGGCAGCTCTCCCCAGCAAGAGCCTCCTCAATGCCAAGGAAGGGGCCCTGGGGGGCTCCCAGTGGGGACCCTCTGCCACCAGGACACCCGCATTCCCCCCATCCCTTTCCAAAATACCAAAATGCCAACACTCCTTTGTTGCCACTTAAACCAATTTGGGGGTAATTCTGCAGGCAATTGTCTTCCGATTTACAATGCGGCTCTGTGATTGCATCCAGACTGATGGTTCAGGCTGTAATTGTATGGTAATCACTTCTGTTTATGATCGATGCGGAAATCACTATTGTTTTCCAGCAGGCTTGTTAAATCGAAAAAGTGCAGGGGTGGGGAGGGACGGTTTATTTCTGTGAGTTGGAGCCCCGGGAAAATGAAATTAAGTAGAACAACTCAATGTGGGGGGTGGCGGGGAGAGGTGGCTCTGATGGCAAAGGCACCCTCATGAGCTCAGAATGCAGAGACAGAGATAGGCAGGAACACAGAGACCCTGAGAGACATGGAAGGTACACTTGGAGAGCACAGAGAAATAAGAGGGGAGCGGGCAGGGACGCTGGTGAATGCCCGGGCTCAAGACAGAGATGGTTAGGAACGCAGATATACACAGAGGTGCCCAGACGGACTCCACTCCTCACACCTGCAGAGAAACTAAGCCACAGATATGCTAGGGGAACCCCCTTACCTACTCATACCCATGCTTCAGCAGACTTGCTCACATCCATTCCCGAAGAAGGGTGGGGGCAACCCAGGTGCCAGGTGGCAGGCCAGGCACTGCCTGCCCCTCAGGGCTAGAGCCCGGCCTTCCCCATCTGGGATTTGCCTGCCTTCTTCTCTCCCCTGCCCTGAGGCCACCTACCTGCCGCCTGGAAACAGGGTGGCAGATGGCACCTGGGGACTCAGGTGGCAGGAGCAGGGCAGTGTCGTGAGCTCAGTGGCTGCTGTGGGGAATGAGGGGAGCTGCCCACCTGGCAGGCAGAAACCCGAACCTCCTCAAGGCCAGAGGGAATCGGCTTGGGCTGGGTGGAGGGCAACGTCTCCCAGGGCGGCCACAGGCATCCATGGCACCAGAGGACCCAGCCAGCCCGGGCTGGAGGCCCACAGCCCTGCGGGGTGCGAGTAGGCACCAGCTGTCGTGGGCAGCTCAGGGAGACCTTGAGGCTGCAAGAGGTTTGTTTCTTCAACCACACGCCCTTCTTCCCCAGCAAGAGTGGATGGGGGCCATCGGGCAATGTGCTGAAAATCACGACTGCGGTGAAAGGTATCAGGTGTTTGGTTTTGAAAGCCAACAAGGCCGAGGTCCCTCACTCAGTCGGCTCTCCCTGCATTGCCTGGCACCCTCACCCACCAACGCCCCCGCCCACCTGTCTAAACTGCCCTTCAAATTTCTCAGTTTTGCCTCACCCCAGGAAGGCCATCCCCCACCCAAATGGGACCCATGGCATGGAATATCACGCTGACTGCAAGGCAGGACTTGGTCACCCAGACCTGCCTGAGGGGTGGCCCTGGCTCTAATTCCTGTGGTACTTTTGTGAGCTTTAGTTTGCTTAGCAGTGAATAGAGACCAGCGGGCCAGGCCCCATCGTGGGTGGATCCCCAGTTAGAGCAAGAGCAGCACTCGGCAGCCTCCCCATGGGACCCTGCCTGGGCCAAGGGCCGTCCAGCCCGGCTTATGGGGCTTCCCTAAACCCAGGGCACCCTGACTCTGCTTCTGTGCCCTGCACTGATGTCCCCAAAGGCAGCCAGGGCCCTGGGATGGCGGGCAATGACCTCAGTCCACTCCCTGAACAGAGAGGACCATCCCCAGTACCCTGCAGGTCCACTTGGGGTTCTGGCCCTGAACTTCCCTAAGACTGGCCCTCAAACAGGCCACCCTGAGATGTGCTGGGCCCTGAACAGGGGCGCCCCTGGCTGCCTAATTAGGGGCTCAGCAGGGCTTGCTAGGAAGCGGCTGGAAAACCTCAGAAGTGGAACAATCACTCCTAATTGGAGTTCTAGGATTCAGCTTAAGAAAACAGCCTCCTTCTCTCCCAGGGACTTTGTTTCTGAAGTATATACAAACAAGTGATAGCTACTCAACATTAAAAACAAAGTTGGCTGAAAATAAAAATTTAAGCTACAATTAAGTTTTCTGAACGGAGAGGAAAACCCCAAGGGTGGGGTGCCTATGAGTGAGTGTGTGCATGAGTGTGTGTGTGAGTGTGCGTGTCAGCATGTGTGTGTGTGTGTGCATGTACCTGTGTGTGGGGCCATGTGTGCAGGCCCATGCATCCACACAGGGCATGATGGACACTGAGCAGATGGATATCTTTGGGGTCACAGTCATCCTTCCTTTGCTCAGGGGCCTCTCACAAAGTCCTGGATCTAAGTGAGCCTCCTGCGTCTGGATCCCAAATTCCCCAGGGCGCTGCCAGGCAAGTGGATACAGGACCTTGCCAGTGCCCTGGTGGACACTGAAGCCTCGGACTTGGAAGGTAGAAGGCCAGAGTTCAGGCCGCACCTCTACCCACCAGTCCCCCACACTCCCTGACCCTCAGTTCCCACCCCTTGCTGGGTGAGGAGAAGCCACTGCATACGTGGAAGGCTTTTCTGGACTCTGAAGCACTCTAGAAACGCCCAAGACAATCCAAGACGGCACGGCAGGGAGGGACAGTGCAGGTACCCGTAAGCCCCAAGGGGATTGGAATGTGTCAACACATTTACACACCCAGTTCCCCATGTGCCCCTCCTATGTCACAGACACACTCCCAACACCCAGTGTGTTTGTAAGCCTGCACAAACTCACAAGTACACTACCCTATATCCAACAGCCATTCAACTTGCAAACGACCCCCACACGTCCTAGTGGACACATGCATGTTCAACTGCATGTTTATCTGATATATGCACAAAGATGCAAAACCCAGGCAACATTTGCAAATGTTCTGTCTTATATTTCTCTTCATCAACACATAATCTCTGCAACAGGCTCAGCCCTACTTCTCACCCAGATGCATGTCCGGCCCCGCACACCCACTGCCTTCCAGCCCTGTCATCTTAATTCTGGGACTTTTAAGCTCCCAGAGGGGAGGGGATGTGTCTTTTTTCACCTTCCCCACAGTGCCTGGACCAGAGAGAACCCAGCTCTTCTTTTGTTCATTCACTCATTCCAAAATATATTACATGTATATGTTGCCTATCTGGATGCTCACCATACAAACTTGAGCGAGCTATAGTCATAGTTATGAACTTGAAGAAATGCCACATTCCTGCACATACCAAGGGCTGCACTAAGTGCTGTACTGACGGTGCAGTGTGCCTAGTAAGGGTCACAGGTGCATCTGTTAGTAAGGGCACGGGCAGGGGGGCGTGCATCCAGGGTCCCCAGCAGATGCCTGCACACACTCACACACTCAGTGGGCAGCCTACATGGTGACTCCTGTAGCTATAACAGACCTGTGGGTGAGGGTGTCCCCGTTTTGCAGAAGTGGTAACTGAGTATGCTGCTGGGTGGCAGAAGGACATCTCAAGCACAAGATCACTTGGGTAGGGTGAAAGCAAGGCTTCAGGTAGCAGGTGCCCAAGACTGGGGAGGTGTCCAGGGAAGTGAGTCTCGGCCAGGTCATTTCAGAGGCTGGTTTCTATTTAGGTAAGAGCCCAGGGGGTACCATGGTGAGGGTGTGGTGGACTACACACTCCTGGGAGAGAGGAGGGGATGACCAGGAAAGCCACACCTGGGAAGAAACCCCAGGGGAGAAATCTTCATCCCAAAGGCTGTCACCTGAGGAGAAAGATCTTATCCAGGTCACTAAATGTATTTATCTGAGAAGGTACACCGCCATGTAAAGCTCTGAGAGGATTATGGGCCCCTGGTAGGCCTGATGCTGGGAAGGCTTAATTCTAGGCAGGGTGGGTACATAGGCTGGGTGGGTACAGGAGCCTGCAGGAGCCTGCCTCCTGAGGCCCACCTGCTGTCTACGGGTGCCCTTGGGCAGCAGCAGTCGAAGGAAAAGCAGGGTTCAGGGAGGGTGGAAGACCTTCCTCCATTTCAAGGGCCAAAGTTGGCCTGGACAGAAGAAGCCAGAGCCTGAGCTTACAGTGGAAGCCAAGTGCTCGGCCCTTACTCCCTCCCCTGTCCTGATGCTGCTCCTGGGAGACCCATTGCCCGAGTGGCCTCCTAGAAGCCACTAAGGACCCAACGGTCAAGGCTGCCATGGTTCTAGTAAGGTGGGGATAGGGCGTTTCTCTGTTTTGGGTGCTGCTGCCCTGACCCCCTGGGACAATGGCTTCTGTCCGTTTTCCAGGGCATCCCGGGACTGCCCAGTAACTTTCTGAGCCTGTTGCTGGCAAATCAAATGAAGACATACCTGAGAGTTACACAAGCTGTCCCCACTCCCTGCAGGGAAGACACAAGCCTTTGCTCAGCAAACACTGAGTGAGCCCTGAGCTTCTGGCCAAGAGCCCTGGGGCCCTGGCTGGAGGCAGGGGGACTATTTGCTCCAAGATGTCTCAGGCTCTTGGAGAAGATGGGCATTCTGCATGTTCTACCAGTTCGGGGCTCATGCTGGAGAAAAGGTACCCCCAACAGATGTATGGGGTGAGGGGTTGGGGGAGTGTCTGGATAGGCTGGGCTGCAATGGACAATAAAGAGGCCCCAAAGCTGGGGAGCAGGAGGACAAGTGACCCAGAGGAACACGCCTCCCACAAACATGAGGAGAACCACGTAGAGCAGGAAGGGTAGCTCATGTTTGCTCAGGGGCGATGAGATCCCAGCACTGTGCTCAAGGTGCTGGCTGGAATGAGCTCTTTAATCCTCCCACAGCCCTAGGGGATGAGTACTAGTCTCCGGTTCTACAGATGAGGAAACTGAGGCTTAGACAGGGTGAGAGGTCCCGGTGTGTGGAGAAGACAGGAGAGGAGGGGGACAGACGTAGGGAGCAAGCTTGGGAGGGCACCTTTGTGGGGTGAGGGCCTCTCGCTCCTAACAGTGGGGAGCCACAGGAGGGCCATCCCATCCCCACCTGGAAACCCCCAATTCAGTGCAGTGCCCAGTCTTCACCTCCTCGATCTCTACAATGGCCACAAGTCCCCAGCAAGCCCCTCCCCTTTTGGCCCCCCAGCTTCCTGTGCCTTCTCCCTGCGCGTGGTCTGTTCCCCAGGATGGTCTTCCGGCCTTGCGCCTGAAGGCTGTTCTGTCTCCCAGTACCCATCCCGACACCAAGGACACCGTGGGTGCCAGGACCTAGGGTTTGACAAGAAGCCGTGTGTTGGCTCCTGGGACCCTTCCCCAGCTCCCAGAATTTCCTCTCAGCGAGGGGTTCTCCAGGCACCCTTTGGGCACCTGAAAGCCAAGGCTGGACTCACAGTCCTTATTCTGCAAGCCCACTCTCACTAGGATGGCTGGACCCCAAGGGCCACCTCAACATGGCTCGACTCACAGACCCTCTGCCCAGAAATGCAGGGGCTCACAGACCCTGACAAACTATGGGTAGACCTCAAGGAAGAAGTCCTTGTGCAAATCACTGGCGGGCTTCAGAAGTCCAGGGTGCAGACTCTCACCTCTCATTCCCCAAGAGGGAAATGAAAGTGGGCACGTGGGTGCCGGCCACGCTTACTTCCTCCAGAGCTGACACATGCTAGGACCTCCCTGATGGCTGCCGGAGGGACAGCCAGGCAGCTTCTCTCTGGGACAGACAAGTGGCAAGCACACTTGTGCCCCTCTGTCCCCTGACCTTCTCAGGCTCTCCTGTTACAGTGGCCATGCTGGAAGGAGGGATAAGCCCCCAGATGGCACCACCCTCCACAGGGCACAGCAAGGTCTCCAGCTGCAACACAGGGCAAGGACAGGCAGGAGTACTGTACAGATGAGAAAACTGAGGCTCAGACAGAAGGGGGCTGGTGGTGGAGCTGGGTGGAGAGAACCCAGTCTCGGGCTCAGGAACTTGAGGGGAACCTAATGCCCAGCCAGTTTTGGAACTAAGCCCATGCTGCGAGGGGATGAATCCACCTGACAGTGATGAAAGCTGCCAGCTACTGAGACGTTACTATGGGCCAGATACCAACCTAAGCGCCTTTTAGCCCCATCTCATTTACTCCCCACTGCAACCCTGCCAGGCAGGGACAAGTAGCTCTACTGCACTGATCAGGAAACAGAGGCTCAGAGAACCTTGGTGACTTACTCAAAGTCACCTGGTAAATGACAGATGTGGGTTTCATAATTACTGTCTGACACTGGCTTGGGAAGGACACCGGGTGGCCCCATTTTAAGAGCCCCGGGTAGTTGGGCAGGGAGGTCCCTCGTGCATTGGGGGGAAAGGGAGAGGAGCAGTCACCAGAGCTGCCAACAGGGTAGGCCCGCGGGCCACAGAGTGACCACTTCAGGCACAGCACTGCCAACAGATCTTTCTACCATGATGGGAACATTCCACCACTGCACTGTCCAATCTGGTAGCCACTAGCCCGTGAAATGTGACTACTGTGACTGAGGAACTGAAAACTTCATTTAATTTTACTAATGTACATTTAAATACATGTGTGGCTGCTATACTGGACAGCACAGTAAATCCCACGCTGCTCCTTACAAGCAGGGACCTCAAGAAAGGCAGGCACCCCTCACATCACACAGACAAGCTGGGGAGCCAGAGCTGGGCCAAGACCTCGAGCCTTTCAATTCCTGCCTGGGTGACCAGGGCCGCCATGTCCTCATGCTCCGGGCTGGCCATCTGACAGACATTTACGCAGCACCCAGCGTGGATGCAAGTCACGAACCGCCTGTCCTTCAAGTCAGTGTAGTGGGCTGACACCCAGGTGGGCAAGGGATGACAGGAAGCTACTGATGTACAGCGCTGGATCCTGGATGTGCACAGGAGCTAAGGACCGCAAGGAGACAGTGGCCCCGGACGCTGGGTGTGGGGATCCAGGGAAAGCTTCCTGGGCCATGCCATGGCATTAGAGCTGGGCCTGGAAGCAGCAGAAGTGAGAGGCAGGAAAAAGGGCTCCTTGGGCTTCCTTTTTCCTTCCTCTCTGAAACATGCCCCCCATTTTTTCACAGTCCTGGCCTCCCACACACAGGGGTTGAACCAGACCTTGCTAAATCTTCTGCGCACAGTGAAGCTGCCCATCAGATCATAAGCTCTTGGGAGGCAGACAGGGAGCTGGTAAATCACTAGTGCCTCAGGCTCTGACCCAGGGAGCAGGGATTCAACACTGGAGCCCTGGGAGGGTGGGAGACCAACTCTGCAAGCCCAGAGACTACCCGCTGGCACCCATCCACTCCAGTCCCAGCCCCAGGGAAATGCACACATTGATTTAAAGCCTCCTGGGCCTGGCTAGAATCCCCCGAGGGACTAGGGAGAGACTCCACAAACAGGACTGCCTCTCTTTTCCAGGAGAGCAGAGGACTGTTGTGGGGAGGTCTGGACAAGCTCCATCCAGTTCCCGGAGCTCCTCAGAAGGCAGAGCTGGCTGCCCTCGCCCCCCACCATGGGCAACCACAAAACAGGAACCCTGAAACAAGACGAGGCTTTCCATTGCGTCAGCAGGGGCAGGGACATTCCCACAGCAGGACGCCGACCTCGCACTACTCCCAACTTCTATGCCCGATTCCTGCCTGCTACTCAGCAGCAGCCCTGCTCCTAGAAGCAGGAGGAGTCCCAGTGCCTCTGAGGCTCCAAAGCCTTTGATGGCTCCCCACTGCCCTGAAGGTGTTGCAGCAGCCTCACTCAACCTCTCCTCGAGCTCCTGCTAACCTCCCCCCTGCCATCTGGAGGGACATCCTCCTTTCTCATCAAGCGCCATACCTCTCCTGGTTTCCAAGCCTTCGCAGCTACTAGTCCTCCCACCCAACAGTCCTTTCTCATCCTGCCCATTTCCAAAATCAAGTTTCACCTGGGAAGTGTTTCAGGCCGCTCCAGCCTGAAAGTCACCATTTTCCCCTCTTCCTTCTATAGCTCTTGGGGTGTAGAGCATAGGCCTCTGTTCATCTAATTCTCTCTTGCCGTGCTGCACCCTAATATTTCCCACTGCACACCCAGATGCGGGTGGTGGCACCCAAAGACATGGCCCAAGCTTCTTTCTCACTTTCCTCTCTCCCCACCTCTCTGGCACAGGGCTGGTATTGAGGCCCTGGAGTGGAGTCTACCTTTTAGAGATGAGATAAAGATGAGGCAGAGATGAGACACTCAGGCCCCCAGAGGGGAAGTGACTTGCCAAAGGTCACACACTAATTTGGCACCAGACTACAGATACAATCACTTCAGGGCTAGTGTTGGGAGCCATGATTCTACCAATAGCATCAGAATTATCTGGGGAGCTTTACAAGCCAAATCACAGGGGCCGGGCCTCCCCTCAGACCCAACAACTCTCCAGGGTGGTTTGGGAGCCTCAGTCTCAGAAAATGTGAGTGTCCTGGCTAAATCCCCTGTTCTCCATTCACCCAGTACACACAAAGCAGCACCACTGCCCCAGGCCAGGCACTTCTAAGGCCTGGCCTCACCCTACGGGGGGTGGGAGCAGTTGGGGAACCCAGCAGGGTCTCTGCGGCTTAGAGAAGCCCCAGGGTGGCTCTAAGGAGAAGTCAGGGCCATGGCTGGGGCTACTGAGAGGGAGGAAAAGGGTCATACTTCCTGAGCCTGGCCAGGCAGGGGGACAGCAGACTGCCTGCTTGGCCCACCCAGGGGTCCTCACGCCCAGTACTCTGGGTGATGGGGGTAGCTCCCAGCTCTGTGCATCAGTTTGGAAAGGCACACAGCCCATCAGATCCTGGGGAACAAGGACACTGTGAGCTTCCCCGAGGGACTCACTATGGGTCCTGGAAGGGCTCCCCGGAAAGGCCTCATCAGTGCCCCGCCCCTGACCATTTTCTCCCTCTAGAGGACTGGAAACCTGAGAGTGTCGCCAAAGGTCCTCGCATCCCTCAAGCTGCCCTGATGGGCCTTGAAGAACCCTCTTTCTGGTGTGCGGGGGTCCCTGCAGAAAGCCACCGCATTTTCAGACCTCCCACTTCAGTCAGGTCAGGGCCATGGGAGCTGGAGGCGGCAGCAAGGCCTGCTGCTGGGGGAGTGGGCACCTCAGGACACAGGGACAAGGCCACAGGAAGCTAACCCTCACCTCAGGGCTGGAGCAGGAAACCAGGCAGCAGGCACAATGAAATCATAAACCACACGTTCCCACTGGGAGACTGGGATTTGCAGTGGGCTGGGAGAGGGCATTGGCTCCATCCATGGCCTCTCCTGCCATGTGACCTTGGGGCAGGAAGTCCCTTCGGCCCTCCGGCCAGTGGGCTGGCCTTCCTTCCCTGCCTGTGGTGTCTGGCCAGGGAGCTCCCTGGGAAGCTGGAAGTGCTTCGAGGGTGGAGGCCTTGTTTTTCCCTTTGCAGGCTCCCTCGTGAGGCAGCTGCTGCTCTGCCAGGCCCTGGGAGAGTTTCCTCCTGCAGCCGAGGCTTGGGGAAGGAGGGCGAGGGAGGCCCAGCAGATGCTCTGTGACACGGTGTGGCGGGGCAAGAGCAAGGGTGAGGTGCACTCTGTACCAGTCAAAGGTCCCGAAATCCTTCTCCCTGCTGGGTTCGGGCCTGTACCCCTCTCTCTGAGGTGGTGCTAAGGATCCCAGCCACAGGCCCCACTGAGGAGTTCCTTCCCCATGGAGGAGCCAGCCTCTCCCGAGGGACCCATGCCGCATCGCTCAAGGTAAACACCTCCCTTGCCCAGAGAGCCTCGCGCCCGCTCCTTCCAGCTCTGCCAGCACAGAACTCTCTGTTCCTGAGGACCCGAGGCTGAGCTGGCGCTCCCGCCCGATCAATGGATGACTTCACAGGGACTGACGCCTACTGGCACCAAGACTGTCCCTCAGGGAGGTCTGAGGCTGCTCCTGGGACCGCTGCCCACTCGTGCCCCCTGGCTGACCTCTGCTGGATGACAGAGTGCTGGCCAAGGGGTTGGAGACCTGGGACTCATGCCACCCTCTTGCTGGATGACCTTGGGCAAAAGTGAACCTCAGTTTTCTCCTGTGTTAAATGGGAATGCCTGGCTGGTCTACTCCTTCCCCGCAGCAGGCTGCCACAAAACAAATGCTAGAGAAACAGGAGGTCTCTTTATCTAACAGACTCGCCTGCACTGTTACACTTGTGGGCTCTGAGCTAGTGTCCTCACTGCACCTCTGTCTTAAGTCTATCCTCCTGGACAGCGCTGTCTGTCGTCCATGGAGCTTCCTGTTGTGGTGGACATGTTCTAGAGTCTGAGCTGCCCAACAAGGCGGCTACCAGCCTTCGGTGGCTACTGAGTGCTTGAATGTGGTTAGTGCCAAGGATAAGCTTAACTCATCCCTTTAATTAATTGAAATTCACAAACAGCCACATGTGGCCAGTGGCTACTGTACTGAATGGCGTCATCTTAGACCCAGCTCAGTCACTCCTTACTCCCTGGGGCAACATTCAGGAAGCCCCGGGCAGGACTTCCGCAGAACCTCTGTGGAAGCACCTTTCTCCCTCTAGCTGCCTGACTCCAGACTAGGGACTCATCTCAGAGTTCCCAGGGACTGCATGGACTGGGTGCTCAACCAATGCAGACTGAGATCTGGAAGTGCTCTTTCAATCCCTCTGCCCCCCGACCCCGTCCCAACTCCAATGGGGAAAACACACCCAACCAGCCTTCCACTCGTGCCATCATCATTCAGCAGCCACTGGGCACCCACCATCCGCCAGGCACCACAGTTGGCACTGGGGCATACGGTGATGAGAAACACGTGGTCCCTGCCTTCAGGGAGCCCACTGGCATCAAGGTCTTGCTCCTGTTGGAGCCAGGCCTGGCCTCCTACATCCCCAACTGGATGATCTCGGGCACATCAGTTTTCCCATCTGAAACTGGGGCTCAAAAGTCCCTGAGCGCACAGGCTGTGATGAGAATCAAGAGGCATGAGAGAGGCACAGGGGCTCTGAGCCAGGGGAGGGCTGTGCAGGGCAGTGGAGGCAGCCTTATGTAGCGAGGTGTAAACTCTGTGCAGGCTGCGCTTCCGGTAAAGACCTAGATTCTCACCAAAGCATCGCCGTTTGGTGGTTTCTCACTAAGGAAGTTCAGGATAAAAATAGCTCAGAAGGGGACTTGAATCCAGCTAGTTGGAGGGTAGTCACTGCCTGGCTTATACACAAAAAAAGGGGAAAGGCTTGTTAGGAGCCACGTGGACTCCAAGAGTCACCCTTCCACGCAACCCCTGGGACAGGGCCTTTCCTCCATAGCAGATGGGAGATAAGCTTCAGGCCCAGAGCCCCATAACTGGGGGAGCCGGAGCCCCCACGTAACATCTGGGGTCACCCTGACTTCAGGATGGCACGGCCTTTTCACCCCAACTCACTCCTCAGCCAGATTTCTGACTCTCAGCCTGATTTCTCTCCTCAGCCCAATTTCTGTGGCCACTCTCAAAGATGGGCCAATGAGAAGCACACTGGCACCAACTCCATGCCACCTGCCACACAAAGCCTTCCTGCTGGAAGAGCCATCAGCCCTGCTCAACACTCATCTGGCAGTCTCGCCTGATGGTCAAGGGCGAAGGGACTGGGTCCCCACTGCAGGAATGACAGTCTCCTGAAACCCGTCTAAAGAAGTGCCAGCTGACCTCTCCTAGTTTCCCCCCAGAGGGCTTCTCGACCCAGGAACTGGTACCTATCTGGTGCCCACCGCACCATGGCTTGGCTTCGAAGACACCAATACCAAAACCACATGCTCAGGACCCCAGGCAGCCTCCTCTTAGTCCCTATCAAGGGGCTCTTTCTCCAAGGTCTTGTACAAGGTCCTCACAACCAGGCATCTCCTGAAAGGCTGCTTCCTGCCCTCTGGTGCAAATCCACCTCTCTCCTCTAGCCAGCTTGCCAGCAAACACTTGTCAGAAGTCTATTCGGCACCCACCACCTTTGCGAAGGGCACCCTGCCGCAATGGTGGCATCACCAGTGCCCGTGGGGTCTCTACGCGCTGGAGGCATCAGGGCTGCATTCTGACAAAGGAGCAGCTTGAAGTCGAGGACCCTCAGGCGCTGCCTCCGAAGGCATCCTGGCCGATTCTTATTTTTGCAGCGTGAGCCGACTGAGCACAGAGCCTCGTAAAATGTCTGCTGGAGAGCCAACACTTCACCTTCAGGGACCTGGGTGGGGGCGCACTCTGCCCCGTGGCCCCAAAGAGAAATGAAGGCCCCGTCTGTGGGCACACAAAACCGGCCCGGTGCACGCCGGTGCCACTCTCGCGGCCAAGCCTGGGGCTGACACCATGCAGCACACGGCGCTACCCACAATGCACCGGCCCTCCTCTGTCACACACAGGCACGCACACTCACCCCCGCGCCCGGAGGGAGCCCAGGGCCCGGCCCGTGGGCGCCCAGGCGCCGACCCCTCCGACCCCGCACTTACCTAGAAGTTGCACCGGTCGCGATCCCGCCCTGGCGCCCTCGGGGGCTTGGGGCCCGGCCGGCGGCGGCCGCGGCGAGCGACTCCGGGTAGGATTCAGCCAGCGCCGAACAAAGGCTGCGCGCAGGCAGCGGGCGCCGCCTGCATCCCCGCTCCGCGCCCCGGCGGCGGCGGCGGCGCGGGGGCCCGGGCGGGTCCGGCGCCCGCTCGCTCCGCGCTGCCCGCTCCGAGGGCGCTCCGGCTCCCGCGCTCCCGCTCGCTGCTGCCCGCCACCGCCGCCGCCGTCCGGCTACCGCACCGCACACATCAATTATTCATCGCCCGTCTCCAGCTTCCCGGGCGAAGCCAATCATAGGCGGAGGCTCCGCTAATGGGGCCGCCGCCGCCGCCGCCGAGGAGGCAGCCAGCCGCGCGCCCGGGCGCAAGCGACAGCTCTCCAGGGACGGGGATGGGCCGGGGGCGCGCGGGGGGCGGGGGCGCACGGGGCGCGCCGGAGAAACTTCCCACGGCCCGCGCTCTGCGCCGCGCTCGCGGACCCTGCGGGCGTGACCACCCACCCTGCGTGTGCCCGCGTGGGGCTGGGGGCTCCGGGGGAGGCCAGGCCAGCCGCGGCGGGGGGAGGGGAGGGAGGAGGAGGAGGAGCGCGGGAGGAAGATGAAAGGCGAGCAGACCTGCCTTGGCGTCTCCAGGGAGCCCCGGCTCGCGCGCGCCCTCCCCGCCCCGCGAGCCTCGCCGTCCGCACCCCGCCCCCCAGCCCGCCGCCCGCACTCACTCGCGCGCGCAGACCGTCAGCCCAGCCACTTCGCTGCGAGGGAGCGCGAGCGAGTATGAATCGGAGGCAGCTCACATTTCAAACTTGCACGCAGGGGTGGTGCTGGTGCACGCCGCTGCCGAGCGAACGCACGACCCGACGAGCAGCACTCCAGCCTCCGGGCGGGGGCGGCGACGAGGCCCCTTTCCTTCCCCCGCCCAGGCAATTAATTGGAAGCAACACTTGTGCGAGTGGGGCTCCCGGAGCGCTGTCGCCCGAGGAGGCCGCCGGGAAGGCGCTGGCGGTGGATGACTTCGGGTGTCTCCCGCCCCCCAGCGAATCCTCCCAAGTGGGCATGCTAATGAGGGTCCACGGCGGGGAGGGGGTGGAGGAGGGAGCTGAACTGGAGGGGGCCTCGGCCGGGGGGAGGGGAGGGGAGGGGAGGGGAGGGCGGGGCTAGGCATCCAGATTAAATCTCGGTTTAAAGGATTTTCGGAACGGGCTACGGGGTGGAGAAGGTAGGCGGCCCGGCATCTTACTTCCCTGACCCTGGGTGCCCTGGCACCCCCGGGATTCCCCGAGCGAGGGGCCCAGGACAGGGTGAACACGCGCACGTACGCTCCCGCTCCCCGACTTCGGGGAGTTCCTGTGACCAGGAGCTGGCGGCAGGAGGGAAGCCGGGGGCGGCTGCGCGCGGCCCTGCCCCGCCCCGGGAGCTGCTGCCTTCCTGACATTGCATCCTGTGGTGGCCGAGGCCTCTTCCTTCCAGCCAGTCTGTCGCAAGGGCTCCGGGCTTTCAGCGCTTGCTCACCCCCCACCTCTCTGCCCCTTAGACACCCCTGGAAGCCCACCTGCTGTCCCACCTCCAGAGATCTTCGCCCCTTCCTCTTTCGTGGGCACTCCCTGTCATCATTACCCCCTCGG
Source organism: Homo sapiens (assembly GCF_000001405.40). NCBI lineage: Eukaryota > Metazoa > Chordata > Mammalia > Primates > Hominidae > Homo > Homo sapiens. The sequence goes on along the minus strand of NC_000010.11, from coordinate 79,242,066 downwards.
GAGAAACTGTATTTTATAGCTCCCTCCCCCAGCCCCACCCACCTGCCTGTGAAAGTTGCTTGTGTGGTGACCTAACTGCCCCAAACACTTAGGAAGGTAAGTGAGTCCCCATCATTCATCCCCAAAGAAGGGCAGCCATGACTGTCTTTAAAATCTCCTCTGTATTGGACTGCCGTGCCCTGCTGCCCTGGCCAACACCGGGAGCTGACCAGGTTCACTGGCCTTTGAGGTGACATCTCCTGACTCCATCCCCTCTTCTCAGCCTCAGCCTCTGGCTGGCCCCTAAACCTTCCTGCCGGCCCTGGAAGTTGCTGGGACAAATCACTTATCTAGAAATAATGTTCTTGCTCCTTGTTTGACATAAATCGTTAGCAGGCTCTAATCCCACCCACTGCCACTTGAAATATCGCTTTCAGGATGGCATTTGAAAATGCAGTTGTCATGGGCTTTCCCTCCGAGAAGCTGGTTAAATGGATTAATTCGTACTTCATAACTTGAGCCTTTTGGACACGAACTAGCTTCCTGCAAGAGAAATTAATTGGCATCCCCTTACTGGCAGGCCAACCCCAGGGCAGCCAGGGGAAGGACTTCCCTTCAGCTTTGCACAAATTCCAGGCTCTGCTTATCCTCACCTCCATCTCATCTCCTTGTAGGTTATTATGGCTTCTTTGGGGACAGTCATTTACTCACTGAGACATTCACTGGGGCCCTGCCCTCCCAAGCAGCACCGCAGGCAGGGGTCCAGTGAAGACTCGCCCATCTCCCCACTGCAGATCCTCCAGATGACTGACCTACTCTAAAGCCCACTGCTCAGCAAATGACACCCAGAAAACAGATGTGGTGGGACAATATGGCTCACGTGTTCCAAGAGAACACTGAGATGGATGTACCTAAGATCTGGTTTCTACTGTTAATCTGGTTTTTAACAATGTCAACACTTGGACCTCCATTATCCAGAATCCAAAGAGCCACTATCTGAAATAACCAGAACACAAACCCTTCCCCATTCTGTGCAATGGCAGTTCACTATTCTAATCTGATCCTTAGTGCTTTCTGAGCCACCAAAGACCCGCATGTTTGGGACTTCCAAATTCATTTTTGAGATATCCTATATGTGTTGGTACCATGTGGCCAGCCCCAGGAGCTGAGTTCAGCAAAACCACTTTGGTAGGTTGAGCCAGAATTTGGACTGGAATTGAGCAGAGGTTTATACCAGAGGGGGACAGACCTGGTGGCATTGCCCAGGAAACTTCAATAAAGACAACCTGCCAGTCTCCCTACCCCATCTCCCTGTTCTCCCAGGTACCCACTCTGGTAAGTCATAGGGTGGGGCTGGAGAAGAGAATTAATATACGCTCCTCCGGCTTGAGACCAGAGATTTTAGACTTTCCCCAGGTAAGCAAAAAAAAAAAAAAAAAAAAAAAAAAAGATAAATACTCTTCACTAGATTTACGTAATTAGGAAAACAAATTGTTTTCAAGCATCCATTCACCAGACTGCACGGGAGGCCTTCAGGCCAAAGCTGGGGTTTTCAGATGCTAATTTCAAGGCTCTCTCTGGCCCACTTGGTTAGCAAACTCTTTCTAGTTACACGCCTCCGGTCTACAGAAATACGGGCACTCCAACCAGTCTCTGCTTCAGAGGGCCTTCTCCACTTGTTCCGAGTTCCAACTCCACTTCTCCAACTTCCAAAGATTTGCTCAAAAGCCTGGGGCCCAAAGCAGCCCGCTCCACCCCCTTGATAAGGATCTACAGCAAAGAGGCCGCAGACAAAGGCGCTCTCCACCTCAGCTCACAGGCACTTGGTGAGCTCTCTGAGTGACCTCGGCAAGGGGGGCATAGCCCCAGGGGAATGACTTGGGAGAGAGAAGAAAGGAAGAAGAAAGGGCGAGCTGCAGCCCCCGCGCTGCGGCTCCTTGATGAATGCCCGCCAGCGCTTGGGAGGCCTGACGCGAGGATCAATAGCGGGTGGCTTTTCTCGCGGGTGTTTGAACTCCTCCTGCCGTGGGCCCTGGCGAGGAGGAGCCGCCGATAAATCACGGCGCTGCAGCCGGGAAGGCAGTGGTGGCTTGCTCGGGAGAGCAAGGGGAGGGAGGATGCTTTACCCAGCTGGAGGAGCCTGCCATGCGGAGCCTGCCTCTGCAAGACCAACTGGGTGGGGTTGGGGTGGGGGCGGGTGGGGACCCTTCCAGTCAAGCTGGGGGCGCAGACAGGGGCCTTCTCCAGGGCTCCCCTGTTTACCCACAGAGGGATGGGCTTCCTGGATCCTGTCCCAGCATTACCCAGTAAAAAGAATCAAGCCACCTAGGATGTAGGTCACCCAGGGGTCAAAGTGGTTCTGGGCTGGGTCACCTCCTGTATAAGGCTTTGCATAGTGGGAGGCCTGGGGGCTGAGAGGCCACTAGCAAGGAAAGACAAGCATACAAAAGCCAGGCTCCCTCTGACCGCTTAGAGGGAGAACAATGAAGCCAGGGACGGCTCTGCTGGGTGCTGGGTTCTGAGACACAGAGCTCTTCTTCAGGCAGGGTCTGCTGATTCAGCAGGGCTGAGCAAGGATCCTATGACTCGGAGATGTCACCCATGCGGGCGTAGGCGCTCAGAGGGAGGGTGAGGTGGACAAGGAGGCCCCAGCCACGTGTCCACGTGAGAGTGACAGGCATGAGCTCAGGCCCTGGGAGCTGCCTGGGCCATCCACCTTCACATCCCTGGTCCTTCTCAGGACACGTGGGAGTGTAGAGCATAGAGTGGGCATTCAACAAATGGATGCACACATACCGGGGACCTGGCATGGAGCAGCTATCACACAGCCAGCTCAGTTGCCCAAGGAAGGCTCAAACAGCAGCCCTGGGGCATGAGACAACTCAGGGGCTCTGCCTCCAGAGACCCCTTCCTGGGGCTTCTGCCAACCTCTGAGGGGTCAGGGCATAAACTCTCATGTGTCTTTATGACACTGTTCTCTCTGTCCCCACTCCCTTTCCCCCCTCATCCTGGTCAACCTCCTCAGGTCTTCACTTAGTCTTTAAGATGAAAGGGACAGTTGCGGTTGAGCTCCTGGCCAATGCAGGCATCCCCACCAGACCTCAGAACCCCTCCTGTGTCCACACACGGGGTCACAGAGCTAGGGGCCCAAGCAGGATCCTGGCCTCTGCTCTCCTGGTGTAATAAGCAGCTCATGGTTACTGAGAGCTTGCTGGTTGGCAGGCACACTTCCAGGCATTTTCCAAGTATTAACAATCCTCACCACCAGACCTTTCTGACAGGAGCTATTTCCACTGTACAGAAACTAAAACAGAGGCGCAGGGAGGTTTAGACAATTTGCCCAAGGGTTTAAATGACTTGGCAATCCAGTTCAAAAGTATGCATTGATAACCATCACATATTCCCAAGGTGGGAGTCTAGGATCCAGAGAAGGAAGGTGACCTCCAGGTCACACAGTCAATTAGAGCTGTGATGAGAGCTCATGCCCCCAACTCCGTTTTATATTCTTTCCCTCATACCACATTACAAATACTGAAATAGTTCTTGCTTCATTGTGTTTCTTTTTAGAGTTTAGCATCTATGCATTTGTAAGCATTTGTGTGACATTTTGAGTTTGCTGGGGCTCCACCTGAGTGGGGGACAGGGACACGATGCACAGTGAGACCTCCATGCCTCTTAGCCTCCTGCCACTCTACCCCGCTCCCCTTCCTGGGCGTATCCTCCAGCAGGGCCACTCATCCTGGACCCAGGCTGCATTCCCAGAAGTCTGCATTTGGCTTCCACCCAAATCCTATAATCGTTTCATTTTGAAAACAATACCACCCGGTGCCCCACACCTCCACTCAGTACCTCCGAGAAGTTCTACAAGGGCAAGGTTACTGGGGTTCCAGGAAAGCATCCTGCCAGGCTAGAGGAGAAGAGAGGATTCTGAGGGGAGGGGGCACGTGAACCAGACACAAAATGATCATTCAGAGGAGCCTGCTCAGCTACCTGCTCAGCCCCAGGCTACCGAGCGGGGAGGGGGCAAGCGGGGAGCCGGTAGGGCTTGGGGCTGCCCCCAGGGCTAGGGCGGAGACAGGAAGGAACTGGCCATGCTCTCCTGGCTAACTGAGGCGCTGCAGAGGGAAGGGAGGAGCCTGGATTTGGAGGCTGAGGCTCAGGAAACAAGTTCTGACTAGCTGGTGGCCCTGACGAGCTGTTAGGCTTTCAGAGCCTCGACCTCCTCCTTTGTAAAACAAGGGTGAGACCACCTAACACCAGGTCCTAGGAAAGACCAATTGAGAAGCCATGGTGTTAGGGAGTGAACTGTGTCCCCACAAAAAATGTTGAACTCCTAACCCCCAGAACCTGTGAATGTGTCTTTATTTGGAAGGAAGTAGGGCCTTTGCAGATGACCACGTTAAGATGAGGTCATTAGGGTGGGCCCTAATCCATCAGAACTAGTGTCCTTATAAAAAGAAGTTTAGACACAGAGACATGCATGCAGGGACAATGCCACGTGAAGACTGAAGTTATGTTGCCACAAGCCAAGAAACTACCAGAAGCGAGGAGAGAACCTTGGAGAAGATCCTTCCCTAGAGCCTTCTGAGGGACCTTGGCCCTACTGACACCTTCCTCTGGGCTTTTAGGTCTCCAGAACTGTGAGACAGTGAATCGCTATTGTGTAAGCCACCCGCTGTGTGGCACTTTGTTATGGCAGCCTTAGCAAACTAAAATGGAGGATCCGTTAAAACCTAAGTCACAAAACATTCTTCTGCTTAAGACCCTTCCTCATGTTGCTCTGGCCCCGTTGGTGTAAAATGCAAGTCCTTGTGGCTGAGCCCCCCGCGTGACCCAGCCTCCAGTCTCCGTCATCTCTCTGACCTCATTTCCCTCCAGTCCCCCTCGGCTTACTCTGGTCCAGCCTCGATGCCCTTCTAGCTGTGAATGCACCCGATGCACCTCCAGGGTTCTGCCAGGAATGCTCTTCTCCAGGTGGCCCTGGCTCCATCCCCACATCCCCGCATCCTGCAGGCTTTCCCTCGGGGGACCCCTTGACTGGGGAGCCCCCGCCACCACACTGACCACAACTCAGCCCCCTCTGACATGCCTGTGAGTCTCCTGACGTGGCTTTGTCCTTAGCATTGTTGGCTGGTGTATTTCAATTATTTACCTTGTTTAATGCTGTCTCCCTCACTAAAAGGCAAGCTCCATGTCAACTGGGACTTTAGTCTGTTTTGGATGTGTTATATTGACAGTATCTAAAATATGCCAGGCAGATGCTTTATAAATATTAGCTGTATGAATGAAACAAGGACCAGCTGCCTGAATGAATGAGTGAACCAAGAATGATTGAATGCACAGTGAACAATCACAGCCTCTAAGGGTGTGTGGTGGCCCTGCTGCCCTGCCCGGAGCCTAGGTCTCTGACCTGCTTCCTAGAACGTGGGTTGTTTCTCAGGGGCAGGCAGCCTGTTCAGACAGGAAGCTCAGGCTGGTTAACAAAGGGGCTGCTGGAGGTGGTGGGGAGCGCGCCACCCAGGTCTCTAATGAATCTCTTCCCATTGATTTCTGGAGTCGCCTTTGAAGGGAAGAGACGGCAACGGCAGCTCGAATGTCCGTGCCTCAGCAGTCCTGGGGTTTCATTGCTTCTCCCAGGACACAGCTTTGATGGGGGCTTCCGAATGGCCCCAGGGTTGGACTGACATAAGCTCTCTGCAGTTGGAAATGCAGTTTGCCTTCCTGCCGGACTGTCTGCCTGCCTGGCTGTGCGGCACACCTCCCTGTCTGGGCTGGAGCAGCCAAATTCTGTTCCTGATGCTTCCCAGACAAAGGCTCACAAGGCAGCTGAGCACAAAGCTTCCACTTTGCAGCGGAAGAAAGTGAGGCTCACTTTGGGAAAAGATTTGGGGCCACTCACACACTCTGGCCCAGGCTGCAGGACCAGGCAGGGCTACTATACCAGGTGTCCCAGCCACCATCGGACCCATCGTGCCTGGAAACCATGTGTGGCCTATTCCTTCCAGCCCCTTTCTTGACAGAGCCTCTACTTATCCATTTGCAATCAAGCCAGCTCAATCGACATCAGAGTAAAGAGGCCCTTGTTTCCCTCTTCAAATGAGGAAACTGAGGTTCAAAGAGGAGGCAGGGACTGCCTCCAGTCACATGGCATATTAATTGTAGAGCCAGGACTAGAACCCCAGACTCCTGGCTTGTTCCACGGCCCCAAGCTGTCTATCCTGGCACTGTATTCCTGCCAACTGTAGCGTCCAGGGCATGCCCTGCAAACTGCAAAGTGCTAGGCAGATACGCTCTTCTAAAGGACTCTTGCCCATCAGTTGCCTCTTTTTTCCCAGCACAGTGTGGGATTCTGATGGGATGGGTCCATCCTACCCGGTACCTCCTGCTCACAGGGAGGTCAGGGCTAGACCTGGACTTGTCGGCTCTTTCCCTCACCTACTGTGGGAATCACATGCATCCTGAAGATGGGTGGGTGAACCTGATTTGGGCTCAAAGAAGGAAGGAATTTCTGACAGTCAGGGCTGCCAGGGAGTAGCAGGGAGCAGCCTGTCACCTGAGGCATATGAGCTGAGGATGGAGAATTGCAGAAGGGACCCTGTACTGGTGGGCTTATGGCTTCTGAGGCCTGCTGTAGGGTGCTAGGAGAGGTAAAAGGAGGAGAGGTGGTTGAGAAGCAAGCCCGAGCACCTCGGTGTGCTCTGGGCAGCAATTGCGCGGTTTTAGGAACCTCCCAAGCCCATGAAAAGTTTGCCAGGAGTCCTTCATCACCCGGTGCAGCCTTCCTGCCTTCCTTTCACCACCCCGTGTGAGAGGAGGTTCTCCGGGTGCCTGCTCCCTTCCAGCCCCTTGTTCCTGGTCCATGGCAGATGAGGGGAGCCAGCGGCTTCCTTCATTCCCCAGTGTGGTCCCAGGTGTCCCCCACCTCCAGGGGCTCTGGACATGAGCTGACAGGCTGCACAGGAATGTCTGGGAGAAATCCAAAGGTGGCCGCCAGGGCAGGGCAAGGAGTGGGAGGCCTGATGTTGAAATCAGGGCCTGCAGAGCTGAGCTCACAGAACTGCGTGCTCTTTGGCCCAGGAGGCCAAGTCCCCAACTGAGACAGATGCTACCTGGAAAGGGGCTTGGGAGCTTGCTGTGTGACCAGGTGCAGGTCACTGTCCCTCTCTGGACCCTAATCCCCTCTCCCCCAGTGAAGACATCTAGTGTAGATGCCATACCTCTCTTTGCTGCCGGGGGCACTGGCCTCCCCAAGTCTGGCTGGGTAGGCTCCAAGAAGAAATGTCATTATTGAACTGACTCCTGCTAATTCCCTGTAAAGGCCGGAGTAGGCTGACAGGTGGGCCAGGCAAGAGGTCTACAACACACATCATTTTGTCAAGGCAAAGACGCTGGTTCCAAGGTGGCAGGCCCTCTATGGTTCCATTCTCCTATATTTATTTGTGGTTTATCTGTTAAGTATGTTTATCTATTAAGTATGTTAAATGTTTCCTGCATGACTAATGGATATTCACCAAGTTATTCCACAGTGGTGGGATGTCAGCTTTACTTTCTTATAATTTTCTGTATTCCTTGATTGTCCTACACATAGTATGTATTATCTTTGGACTTACAAGAAAAATTCCATAAAACCACTTTCATTTCAGAATGAAATCCAAAGTTAAGACCTTTTCCCTGGGAAAGGTGCTGTGTACCATCCATCCTCAGAACTGGTAAGTCAAGAGTCAAGCATAAAACAGCCATGTCACCACCTGAGCTTCCGAGGCCCAGGGAAGGGCGTGGGCACGAGGCATTGCTGGGGAGTCACCTCTGCTTCTCTCCCTCCACACACGGCACACTTCCACCCCAGCAGACTGGTGTCCTGGCATCCTGGCAACTGCACCAGCCTCCAAACTATGTTCTCTGCCTCTAGCACCCAAGTCCCTCCTCTACCTGCTGAGGCAAATCTGACCATGTCATCCCTTGTCTAAAACGTTCTTTCGCTCCCCAGGGGTGTCAAGATCAAGTTCAAGCTCCTTAGATTGGCATTCAAGGACTCAGATGATGTGGTCCCTAGAAGTGTCATGCCTGGTCTCCAGGAGGGCCA